>NC_000015.10:89774611-89926126 GCF_000001405.40 Homo sapiens
TCAAGCTCAAACAGGTTAAGGGCTCTGCCTAAGGGCATACAGCTACTGTCATACAATGGCCTGTTCACTTTTCTTTCCCACAAGACTGAAATCTCATTAGAGCAGAGACCATGACTAGCTCATTCACCCTGTGTGCTCGACATTTACTGGTTGCTAAATATGAATTCGGCCAGGCGCAGTGGCTGACGCCTATAATCCCAGCACTTTGGGAGGCCAAGGCGGGTGGATCACTGGAGGTCAGGAGTTTAAGACCAGCCTGGCTAACATGGCAAAAACCAGTCTCTACTAAAAATACAACAATTAGCCAGACGTGATGGTGCATACCTGTAGTCCCACCTACTTGAGAGGCTGAGGCAGAAGAATCACTTGAACCCAGGAGGCAGAGGTTGCGGTGAGCTGAGATGGTGCCACTGCACTCCAGCCTGGACGATAGACCAAGTCTGTTTCAAAAACAAAAAAAAGAGAATAAATAAATAAATATGAATTAAATGAATAAAGTCCATTAGTGCCTTGAAATCTAAGTACTTTCCTTTTATTTTATTTATTTATTTATTTATTTACTTATTTATTTATTTTTGAGACGGAGTCTCGCACTCGCCCAGGCTGGAGTGCAGTGGCACGATCTCAGCTCACTGCAACCTCCGCCTCCCGGGTTCAAGCGATTCTCCTGCCTCAGCCTCCCGAGTAGCTGGGATTACAGGTGCCTGCCACCACACTCGGCTGGTTTTTGTATTTTTAGTAGAGACAGGGTTTCAGCATGTTGGCCAGGCTGGTCTCGAACTTATGACCTCAGGTGATCCATCCACCTCGGCCTCCCAAAGTGCTGGGATTACAGGCATCAGCCACCATGCCTGGCCAGTACCTTCTTTATAAAACGATCATGGCAAACCTTCAGCTCACTTGCCAGGGCCTAAGTGCTTTACAGGGATCGCTGTACTTAGTCCAGGAACCATCCTAGGCATAGGTATTTTGTATCACTATTGGTACCGATGAGGGAATCTGAGGCTCAGAGGAGCTAAATAACTTAACCAAGGTCACAGCCAATAAAGAGGCCGGCTTGGGGACCCATTTTCGCCGGTTTTCATCACCTAGGGTACCCAACTCCTCTTCCCCAACCTAATCTATTCCATTTCTCAAGAGTAGATACAGACCATGGGCAGTGAGATGCCTTTCTTGGTGTGTCACTCAACAAATCAGAAACTGTGGATTTTGGGGACCCCAGAAGGGCCCACCTGCACTTCTTCCTCAGCCACCATGGGCAGGGCCCTCCGGGCTTGTCTTGATGCCTTATTTAATACAACAGTAGGCACAGCGTCCTGGGCACAGACCTCCGGGAGGTTAGTGATGAGAGAGGCACCCACTCCTCACGGGGTCCCTGAGGCACCCACAGACCATGGCACTACCCGCCTCTGTTGGGCTCCCGGGCACTCACCGTGAGCAGTGGACGGGGCAGGGGCGTGGGTGGGAGCGTGGTGAGAAGCTTAGCAGCTCCATCCAGATGCGAATTGTCCCTCCCATACTTCCCGGGCTGCAGGGGCCTCCATTTAGAGCCCCCAAGGAGTCAGAATCCACACCTCCGCAAATGGGCCCGCTTTCCCAGGGGCCCCCTGCCCAGACTTTCCCTGGGCTCTGTGGGTTTTGACACCTCTCTGCAACCTGGCGGGGGGCCACCTCGCACCTTTGGTCAACATAAAAGCTCAGGCCTGGAGGTGGCCAACCCAGCCTCCCAGAGCCTGCAGCCCGGCCATGGCCCAGTCGCCTCCTCCGCAGAGCCTCCTCGGCCACGACCACTGGATCTTCGCCCAGGGCTGGGGCTGGGCCGGCCACTGGGACTCCACGTCCCCGGCCTCCTCCTCCGATTCGTCGGGTTCGTGCCCCTGCGACGGCGCCCGCGGACTCCCGCAGCCACAGCCTCCGAGCTGCAGCTCCCGAGCCGCAGAGGCAGCCGCGACGACGCCCAGACGAGCGCGCACCGGACCAGCGGGCGGACAGCGGCAGAGCGCCAGCGAGCGGGAGAAACTGCGCATGCGCACGCTGGCCCGCGCCCTGCACGAGTTGCGCCGCTTTCTGCCTCCCTCCTTGGCGCCGGCCGGCCAGAGCCTGACCAAGATCGAGACGCTGCGCCTGGCCATCCGCTACATCGGCCACCTATCGGCCGTGCTGGGTCTCAGCGAGGAGAGTCTGCAGTGCCGGCGCAGGCAGCGCGGGGACGCGGGGTCCCCTTGGGGCTGCCCGCTGTGCCCCGACCGTGGCCCCGCAGAGGCGCAGACGCAGGCGGAGGGGCAGGGGCAAGGGCAGGGGCAGGGGCAGGGGCAAGGGCAGGGGCAAGGACAGGGGCAAGGACAGGGGCAAGGGCAGGGGCGCAGGCCGGGCCTGGTCTCCGCCGTCCTCGCCGAGGCGTCCTGGGGATCCCCGTCCGCCTGCCCCGGAGCCCAAGCCGCACCCGAGCGCCTGGGGAGGGGGGTCCACGACACGGATCCCTGGGCAACACCCCCTTACTGCCCCAAGATACAGTCGCCCCCGTATTCGTCCCAAGGGACAACCTCCGACGCGTCTCTTTGGACGCCACCCCAAGGCTGTCCCTGGACGCAGTCGTCCCCAGAGCCCCGGAACCCACCAGTGCCCTGGACGGCGGCCCCAGCAACTTTGGAGCTGGCCGCAGTGTACCAGGTATGTGTGGAGGCCCTTGCTGTGTTCCCCAGCCTCCAGTCTGCAGAGAATCTCGTACTTTTTCGATCCCAGCTTATCTACTCCAGGATTATCTAACGGAGGGGAGAATGGAAGGAACCCCCGGCTCCGTGGGAGAAGAGATGGGACCCTGGGAAGTTAAGGCCATCTCCACAGTCACCACAAGCAGTCTTCACAGCCATGGGAAAGAGGGGGAGCCCGCCGACTTTCTCAGAGGGTGGAAAGTAGCAGGGTGGGCGTGCTGGCTTCAAGTGCTATTAAGACTGCAGTGGGGGAAGGAAGTCCCAGGGTAAGGGCAGCATTTCCTGAGTAGATGGGCCTAGAGCTGGTGATTTCAAGTTTTCTTCAAGATTCGTTCATTCATGAGGCTCATGAATGACTCATCGTCCATAAAAAATCATATTAACCAAAATTTGTTGAACACTTTCTATGTGCCCATCATCATTCTTGGCACCTTACATGTATTATTCAGCCCCAGTAATGACCCTAGGAAGTAGGTATTATCAGCATCTCTATTTTACAGGTGAGAAAACTGAGACTAAAAGAAGCTACCTGAGTTCTCATTACTAGTGAGTAGCAGAACTGGGATTTAAGCCTTAGCAGAGTGTCTCCCGAGCCAGTCCTCTTAACCACTTGGCTTTGCTGCATTCATGGCACCAGGGCTGTCCGGATGCTGCCAGCCATACCATGGCAACCAGCCAGATTCAAGATCTCTGGATATCAGGGAGTAGCCCACTAACCAGGCTGCTCTCATCTCTCTTGCAGGGTCTCTCTGTGTCTCCAGAGCCCTGTCTGTCGCTGGGAGCTCCATCTCTCCTGCCCCACCCATCATGCCAGAGACTGCAGCCTCAGACCCCCGGGAGGTGCTGGAGCCACAGTGCAGAGGTGGTGCCCAACTCAGAGGACCAGGGACCGGGCGCCGCCTTCCAGCTCAGTGAAGCAAGCCCTCCCCAGAGCTCAGGCCTGCGGTTCAGTGGCTGCCCTGAACTTTGGCAAGAAGATCTGGAGGGGGCCCGCCTGGGCATCTTCTACTAAATGGCCTCGGCTTCCCTCTTTCCATCCAGGAATCAGTCCTGTAGCTTGGGTGCCTCCTTATTTGTTAATTAGTGGCTTTTCATGTTCTCCTTTAGCCAAGGCTCCCTTTTTCCAAGTGATGTCTTTCAGGGAAGCAGTGTTTGAAATAGATAGCGGGTACCTTCCCTGGATGGAGTCAGGGCGGGGGCACTGTCCTCCACTGCTAGACACCCCCAGAATGCCTGGCGCTCTGCAGAGCACAGTCTGAGCTGCTCTAAGAAGGGGTCTCCTTTACCCTAAAGGCAGCTGGGCAGGGACAGGTGGGAGAATGGGTGTAGGAGGCAGGCCCCAGGCTCTGCTTCTTGGTGACAGTTGGCCAGAGCCCTGTATGCTTTGATTTTTTTGTACTTAAAAAGAAAAAACACACACACACAACAAAAATTTGGTTTGGCCTTGTTTTTTGTTCATCAACCTGGGTTTTTCTTGCCTCTGGAAAAGGAAACATGTTTTCCTTCTGTGGGGAACAAGTTCTGCTGCTCTTTCCTTCTCTAATCCAGGCCTGCCAAGGTTTGGGTGGGCCCTCATTTGTCAGTTTGACCATATTTATTGCACTGGAGCTCCAGGGCCAAAAGCTCCACCTGGCTTGCTGTGCAAGGTAGCACAGGTGGGCTAAGCTTGGGCCTGCCCACTTGCCTCAGCCACATCACCACTGCCCTTTTGTGTTCTTCGGGTGCATTCCTGGTGACTGCTGGGGTGGGTGCATGCAGCTGTGGACAGACAGACAGGAGCCCCAAATGGGGAGACCACAGTCCCAGAGACCTGTCATTTAGGGCTCTTTCACAATGACATGAAATTTTCTTCAAAGAATACTGGGAGTGGTTCCTACGTGCTAGGCCCAGTGTATTAGTTTGCGAGGGCTGCCATACTAGAATGCCACGGGCTGAGTGCAGTGGCTTACGCCTGTAATCCCAGCACTTTGAGAGGCTGAGGTGGGAGGATCCCTTGAGGCCAGGAATTCGAGACCAGCCTGGGCAACATAGCAAGACCTTGTCCCTACAAAAAACTTAAAAAAACAACAACCACAGACTGGGTGGCTTAAACAACAGAAATTTATTTTCTCACAATTCTGGAGGCTAGAAGTCCAAGATCAAGGTGTAGGCAGGTTCAGTTTCTTCTGGGGCCTCTCTCTGTGGCTTGCAGATGACTGCCTGTTCGTTGAGCCCCTACATGGTCACACATCTGTCTCTATTGTCTGTGTCCTGATTTCTTATAAGGGCACTAGTCATGTTGGATCAGGACCTACCCTAAGGGACCCATTTAACTGTATTTACTCTTTTAGGGATCTTTCTTCTAATACAGTCACAGTTACATTCCGAAGTATTGGATGTTAGGGCTTAAACATAAGAAACTTCTTTTTTTTTTTTTTTTTTGAGACAGAGTCTTGCTCTGTCGTCCAGGCTGGAGTGCAATGGTGCAATCTCGGCTCACTGCAACCTCTGCCTCCCGGGTTCAAGCGATTCTCCTGCCTCAGCCTCCTGAGTAGCTGGGATTACAGATGCCTGCCACCATGCCCGGCTAATTTTTGTATTTTCAGTAGAGACAGGGTTTCACCATGTTGGCCAGGCTGGTCTCGAACTCCTGACCTCAAGTGATCCACCTGCCTCGGCCTCCCAAAGTGCTGGGATTACAGGTGTGAGCCACCACACCCAGCCAAACATAGGAAATTTTTTTTTTCTTTTTTTTTGAGAGGGAGTCTCACTCTGTCGCCCAGGCTGGAGTGCAGTGGCATGATCTCAGCTCACTGCAACCTCTGCCTCCCAGGCTCAAGTGATTCTCCTGCCTCAGTTTCCCTAGTAGCTGGCCTAGGTGCCTGCCACCATGGCTGGCTACTTTTTGTACTTTTAGTAGAGACAGGGTTTCACCATGTTGGCCAGGCTGGTCTTGAACCCCTAACCTCCAATGGTCCACCCGCCAAGGCGTCCCAAAGTGCTGGGATTACAGGCGTGAGCCACCACGCCCAGCCAGACATAGGAATTTTATGGGAACACAGTTCAGCCGCCTCAGCCTCCCAAAGTGCTGCTATTACAGGCATGAGCCACTGCGCTCAGCCATACAGGAATTTTATGGGGACATAATTCAGCCCATAACACCATGTGTTAGGTGCCAGAGAGAAAATATTCCCCAACTAATGTGAATTACAGGGAAATAAATGATCAGAGCCCAGGTCCTAAACACAAGGATGGGGGTTTGTGTGAGGTGCTTAGGGACCAGGATGCGGTAACCTGGTGGGAGGCGAGGTTGGCAGTACCATCTCATTCTTGAGTTACCTGATTCCTTAGTCCTGCTGCCTTGATTGCGGTGTCTTAAGAGTAAGAGGCACTGCCAGGATCTTGGGAAAAGGATGCCAAGATCTATTAGCAAAGGCTCCCGTGGGCATGGGAGCCAGCAGTGGTGGTAACTTCCTTCTGTATCTGCTGACTCAGGGAGGAGAGAGTGCAGAAGAGGTGACCTTGGAGCTGGGTGTTGAAGGATATGCAGGAGTTTATCAAGAGGAGTGAGGGAAGAGAGGTCCAGGCAGGAGCAACAGCATGAGCCAAGTCGAAACAGAAGCGTCTAGTGTCTAGAGATGACAGAGAAAAGTGGCAAACAGAGCCGGAAAGGGGCTTGGAGGCAAGTTTGTGGGGAGTTCCACGTGGTGGGTGATGAGGTTTTGGCCTCCGTTTCCCGAATGATGGGCAGCACTGAGGGTTGGGAGTTGGGGGTGAGCTGGTAAGAAGTCTGCTCTCAGTCCCTTCGGCCGCTTCATAGAAATGGAACCAGGCAGGAGGCCACTGCAACAGTCCAGCTTGAGAGAAAGGGAGAGGCAGCACAGAGCATGAGCTGCCTGATTTCCTGGGCTTGAGCTCTTGGCGTGTGGGGCTTTCCCCTCTCATCCTGCAAGGTTGCCCGTTGCCTCTGACACGCCCTGTGGCATCAGGCAAGTCACTCTTTCTGAGCTTCAGTTTTCACAGTTCCTAAAGGAGGAACTATCTTGGGTGGTGCTGAGGTACCTTCTTCCTCTAACCTTCCAGAAGTGCTCTGGTTCTGCCCTTAGGGCCCTGCTGTCCCGAGGGGCTGTCAGCCACAGCTGGAAGGATGAGAAAAATCCAGGCAAGGTTAGAGTAGACACACAGCATTGGGGCCCAGGTTGCGCATTCTACTCGGCTCTTACTTGCTGTGTAACCAAGTGAGACTGACAGATAAGCTTTGGAACCTCCCTGAGCCTCAGTTTCTTCAACTGTGAAGTGGAGACAATAATAGACCTACCTCTCAGGGTTTTAATACTTGGCACATAGTAAGTGCTCAATAAAATGAGTACTGAGGCCAGGCATGGTGGCTCACGCCTGTAATCCCAGCACTTTGGGATGCCAAGGTGGGGTGATCACTTGAGGTCAGGAATTTGAGACCAGCCCGGCCAGCATGGTGAAACCCCGTCTCTACTAAAAATACAAAAAATTAGCCTGGCGTGGTAGTGAGCGCCTGTAATCCCAGCTACTCAAGAGGCTGAGGCAGGAAAATCGCTTGAGCCCAGGAGGTGGAGGTTGCGGTGAGCGAGATCGTGCCACTGCAAGCCTAGGCGATAGAGTGAGACTCTGTCTCCAAAAAAAAAAAAAAACAAAACAAAAAAAGGAAAAAGAAAATGAAAGATTGCGTTAGCTATGCTGACTCCACAGTCTCGAAAGGCTGAGTCAGAGGAGCCACCAAGGCTGCTGCCTACAGAGCCTCAGCACCTTCCATTCCTGCTGGACTTGAGTGCTGAGGGCAGGCAAGAGCGCTGGGCAGGGAATCAGCCGCCAGAGTTCTAGTTGGTTCCTGCTCTTTGACCTTGACCAAGGCTCTGCAGGCATTCCTCTGGCTCTGTGTATCCTCACTGCATTCCAGGATCAGCCATGGAGGTCCTGATGAGTGCCAGCATTGTACACTGCCAGGTGGCATCGTCAGAGGTGTTTGAACCAGAGCGATTCCATCTTGAATAGGGGCTAGGCAAAATGAGGCTGAGACCTGCTGGGCTGCATTCCCAGGAGGTTAGGCATTCTTAGTCACAGGATGAGACAGGAGATCGGCATAAGATACAGGTCACAAAGACCTTGCTGATAAAACAGCATGCAGTAAAGAAACCAGCCAAAACCCGCCAAAACCAAGATGGTGACAAAAGTGACCTTTGGTCATCCTCACTGCTCATTATGCGCTGATTATAATACCTTAGCTGCTAACAGACACTCCCACCAGCGTATGACCGTTCACAAATGCCACAGCAATATGCAGAAGTTACCCTGTATGGTCTAAAAAAGGGAGAAACCCTCAGTTCTGGGAAATCCCCACTTCTTTCCCAAAAAACTCATGAATAATCCACCCCTTGTTTAGCATATAATCAAGAAATAAGGCTGGGCGCGGTGGCTCACGCCTATGATCCCAGCACTTTGAGAGGCTGAGGTGGGCGGATCTCCTGGGGTCGAGAAACCCCATCTCTAATAAAAATACAAAATTAGCCGGGCATGGTGGTGCATGCCTGTAATCCCAGCTACTTGGGAAGCTGAGGCAGGAGAATCGCTTGAACCCAGGAGGCGGAGGTTGTGGTGAGCCAAGATCGCACCATTGCACTCCAGCCTGGGCAACAAGAATGAAACTCCGTCTCAAAAAAAAAAGAAAAAAAAAATCAAGAAATAGCTCTTAAGTTTACTCAGTTGAGCAGCCCATGCTGCTGCCCTGCCTGTGTAGTAGCCATTCTTTGATTCCTTTCCTTTCTTAATAACTTGCTTTCATTTTATGGACTTGCCCTGAATTCTTTCTTGCATGGGCTCCAAGGATCGAGACCTCTTTCCAGTAACGGCACAAGCATGGCAGTATAGACGTCACGCACTCCACCCCAGCTCCAGATGGAGAACTGGCTTCCACTTCTGTGCAGGGAGTAAAGCCAGACAGTGGTTCCAGTTCAGTTCTACTGAGTTGTGACTTCATCTCCTTGCCCTGCAGTTTCCTTATCTGTAAAGCTGACATAAAGATATTCCTTATCTCATGGTACGGTTTAGAACTAAATGAAATAATGTGCATAAACTCTTCTCCCTGGCAGGCCAGCTCTCTCCTCTGCAATGTCCAGGGATCCTAGAGCCCATTAGAAACTCAAGATGGTGAGGCCGGCCCCTCCCACAGCTGGTCCCCAGAAGGTCAAGTGCCAGCCACGGCCGCTGGGTACTGGCGACAGGAAGGGTTGGCCCAAAGTGGCTGGCGGAGCTTAATCTGGGGCGGCCCAGGGAGCCTCCTGGCTGGTGGAGGGACAGAGCACCATCATCCGGGCTGGCCTCCGCCCTTAGCTCACCCTACTCTTTGATGTGCAGATGGTGGTGGGGGATGGGGGGCCTTCCTGGCCCCAGGCCTGCCTGCTTCTCACAAGGGGGAAGAGGGCCAAGGGTGATAATAAAACCCAGCTCTCCTTATGCGTCAGGCCATTTGCTAAGTACATGTATCTCCTTCAATCCACACACCAGCCCAACAGCTCTGACACTGCCTCGTTGTGCAGATGAGACCTAGGCTTGGGCATGTGGGTCCCTTGTCTAAGAAACTGAAACCAGACCTGCTGGACTCCATGATTCCAGCCTGCGGAGCTGGCTGTGGGTGTCTGTTGGAGGTGACTCCTAAGGACCCCTGTGGCTGTTCCCGCCTTCTCCCCCTCCTCTCAGCCTTGGATGTTCAACTGGGCCTTGCGGGGCAGAGGCTGAGGGGAGCCTGCCACAGTGGGGCTCCATTTGTCAAGAAATGCTCACCAGGGCCAATGTGTGCGTGGAGCTGCGCTGGTCCCAGGCCTTCTCAGAGTTGGCCCTGACCATCTTCTGCCCCAGGCGATGTGGAGGGCACAGCCCCCACTTTATGAGCCTGGCAAAGCTGTCCCCACCCCATGGTTTGCCTGCTCCTCAGCCCAGCCCATCCCTGTGTGCTGCTCTAGAAAACAACCTCTTTATGCATTGGTACCCACACCCCACTCCACCCTTCCACCACGGAAGACGGTGGGGCGTGCCCTTGGCCAGTGAAGGGTGGCACCAGGTATGGGACCCTGTGCTTGCTGCCTTCACTGCACAGACCTGTCCCGCATTGTCCCAGGTATCCCAGGTGTTCCCGTGGAGCAGGAAGAGGGGCACGGCCAGCACCCTGCACCCTTGCCTCATGTTAAGGAGGGTGCTTCCTGGAGAGCACTCCCTGCGCTCTGCCAGGGCCCCTCTCACCACTCACTGCGGGAGCACTGGGTCCACAGCTCCCCACCACCCAGCAGCTCCAGCTGCCATCAGAATAGGAATAAAAGGAGCCCTGCAAACCACCCAGCTAGCTCAGTCAATAGAGCATGAAAAGGAGCCCGGAGTCCTGCAGGCAGACATGGAGGCACAGGCGCAGGGCACCTGCAGGAAGGGCCGGCAGGCTGGGCACGTCTCCCCTCCTGTGCTCTGGGGTCCCAGACTCCACGGTGCTCCGCATGCACCCAGCTTCCCCCACCCGGCCTCCCCAGCTGCTGTATTGACCCACTCCTGCTTTAGTTTAGTAATGAGTCTCACTCATCTAGAAATCCTTTATTTACATTTTCTCTTAGAAAAAAATATACAGATCTGCTGCCCTGTTGATTCCTCAGATTTAGGGTCTTTAGGGAAAGGTGAAAGAGGGTACAGGGCGGCCCCCAGCAAGGCCGTTCATTGTCCATCGAGAGCTTCTGCTCATCTGGCCCTGGAGCTGGGCTTCCCTGAGATCAGCCCCAGGGCACTGGGCGACAGGTGCCATGCCAGGCCTAGGGCGGGGTTGGCATGAGGGGCAGGGGCTGGGAGGTGCTCAGGCAGCCTGGGTCATCAGGAACTAGACTGGCTCACAGGCAGAGAGAACGTGGGCTGGAGACTTTGTCCTTGAGGGGAGGACACTGGTGCCTCGGGCTCCAGGAATGGAGGCCCTGCACCAGCCGCTGGGATGGACACATGTGGGCACCTTGCATGGGGGCCGGGTGACTTCAAGGGCTGGGGACTATTTGCTGTTTTCTGTGAACCACTGGAGCACCACCTCCTTGTTCTCCTTCACCCACTTGATGTTGGCTTTCGTCTTCTCCAGGGCTTGCTCCAGGGCCCGGGTGCCTGAGCCGAAGCCTGTTTCCTCGTTGTCCTTCTTGAACTGCTCCAGCTGCCAGAAAAACAAAAGATTCTCAGTCCGGCTGGGTCCCTAACAGCCTTGAGGAGGAGCTCTCTCAGGCCTCTGGCTTTCCACTCCCACTTTAGAGTCCCCATGGATGGGACCACACCCTGTTCCAGGGATAGGCAGGACGTCCACCTTGCTCCCGGGCAAAGTCCTTGTGAACACAGAGGTTGCAAAATGACAATCCCAGGCAAAACCTGGCTCAGGGAGATTCTGGCCTTCAGGTGTAATATTTTATTATAATATCAATCCAATCAAGAGAGTAGAGAGGGGCTAATGAAGCAACCAGCCAAATCTAAAATGTGGAAATTTCTATACCACAAATGATCCAGTTGCTTCAGTAAATAAATGGGTTTAAAAAAAAAATACTCCTACAAATTAGAAGAGTTATCAGTCCTGGAGGTTCTAGCCAGGCAATCAGCCAAGAGAATGAAATGAAAGGAATCCAGAAAGGAAGAAGTAAAACTATGTGTATGACATGTTTGCATACATAAAAATTTTAAGGAATCCATTAAAAAATCTATTAGAACTAATGATTTCTGCAAGGTTGCAGGATACAAGAGCAATACACAAATATCAATTGTATTCCCATACATTAGCAATGAAAAACCTGAAAATGAAATTAAGAAAACAATTCCATTTACGATAGCATCAACAAGAATAAAATATTTAGGAATAAATTTGACAAAATAAGTGCAAGACTGGAATGCCAAAAACTACAAAACATTTTTGAAAGAAATTAAAGAACACCTAAGTAAAAAGAAAAAAGACCCAAATAAATCTGTGTCCATGGACTGGAAGATTTAGCATCATTAAGATGGCAATAGTCCCCATATTGCTCTAGAGATTCAATCCCATCAAAATTTTAACTACTTTTTTTTTTTTTTTTTTGCGGAAATTGATCAGTGATCCTAAAATGCATAAGAAATTGCAAGGGACCCAGAATAGCCAAAACAATATTGAAAAAGAACACAGTTGGCCAGCCTGGGCAAGATGGTGAAACCCTGTCTCTGCAGAAAAATACAGAACATTAGCCGGGCATGGTGGCATGTGCCTATAGTCCCAACTACTCAGGAGGTTGAGGTGGGGGGATCACCTGAGCCTGGGAAGTTGAGGCTGCAGTGAGCTGTGATCTCACCACTGTACTCCAGCCTGGGTGACAGAGTGAGACCCTTTCTCAAAAAAAAAAAAAGCAAATTGGAGGACTCACACTTCCCAATTTTAAAACTCACTACAAAACTATAGTAATCAGGACAGTATGGTACAGGCATAAGGATGCAAATATAGATGAATGAAATAGAATTGAGAATCCAAAAACAAACCCTTATATTTACCGTCAATTGATTTTCAACTAGGTTGCCAAGACCATTCAGTGGGAGAAGAACAGTCTTTTCAACAAATGGGACTTGGACAACCGGATATCCACATGCAAAAGGAATGAAGTTGGACCCCAACCTCATATCATATACAAATATTAAGTCAAAATAGATCAAATGCCTACGTTTGAGTGAAAACATAATAAAACTCTTTTTTTTTTTTTTTTTTTTTTTGAGGCAGAGTCTTGCTCTGTCATCCAGGCTAGAGTGCAGTGGTGCGATCTCAGCTCACTGCAAACTCCGCCTCCCGGGTTCAAGCAATTCTCCTGCCTCAGCCTCCCGAGTAGCTGGGATTACAGGCGCCCGCCACTGCATCCAGCTAATTTTCGTATTTTTTAGTAGGGACGGGGTTTCACCATCTTGGCCAGGCTGGTCTTGAACTCCTGACCTCATGATCCACCTGCCTTGGCCTCCCAAAGTGCTGGGATTACAGGCGTGAGCCGCCATGCCTGGCCAATAAAACTCTTAGAAAAAACATCGTCAGGTCTTTTGTGGGTTTGAAAAATTTTTTTGAAATAAAAAAATAGGTATAAATCTTCATGACCTTGGGTTAGACAATACTTTCTTAGATATGATACATAAAGTATAAGCAACCAAAGGGAAAAAAAACAGATAAATAGGATTTCATCAAGATTTAAAATTTTGGGTATCAAAAGACCTATTAAGTGAGTGAAAAGACAGTCCATAGAATGGGAGAAATACTTGCAAACCCTATCTCTGATTAAGGGTCTAATATTCAGAATATATAAAGAACTCTTACAATAAAAAGACAACCCAATTTTAAAATAGCAAAAGACTGGGCACAGTGGCACATGCCTGTAATCCAAGCTACTCAGAAGGCTGAAGTGGGAGGGTTGCTTGAGCCCAGGAATTTAAGGACAACCTAGGCAACATAGTAAGACCCTCTCTCGAAAAGAAAAATAGTCAGTTTTACCCATTTCTCCAAAGATACACAAATGTGTATAAGGCCAATAAGCACATGAAATATTCAACATCATGTCATTCATTACTCATTAGGGAGATATAACTGAAAACCATAATGATACCACTTCCTACCCACTAGATGACTATACTAAAAAAAGAGGGAAAGAGAGATAAGTGTAGACATGGAGCAATTAGAACCCTCATGTGATACACTGCTAATAGGAATGGACAATGGTACAGTTGCTTTGGAAAACATTTTGTCAGTTTCTCAAAAAGTTAAACACAGAGTAACCAAATGACCCAGCAATTCCGCTCCTAGGTGTATACCCAAGATAAATTAAAACATGTTTGTACAAAATTTGCACGTGAAGGTCCATGATATTCATCACAGCCAGAAGACTGAAACAACCCAAATGCCCATCAATGATGAGCTGAAAACAAAATGTGGTACATCCATGTAATGGACCATTATTCAGCCATAAAAAAGAATGATCCCTGCTACCGTATGCATGAATCTTGAAAACATTACACTAAGTGAAAGAAGGCAGACAGACACAAAAAGGCTGTGTGTATATGATTCCATTTTATGAAACATCCAGAATAGGTAATAAATCCATAGAGACAGAAAGTATATTAGTGGTTGCCAGGGGCTGAGGGGACCAGGTAGGAATAAGGAGTGACTGCTAATGAGTACAAGGTTTTTTTTTGGCGTAATAAAAATGTTCTGGAATTAGACAGTAGTGATGGTTGTACCACATGGTTTTTTTCTGTTTGTTTGTTTGGTTTGGTTTGGTTTTGGTTTTTTGAGACAGGGTCTTGCTCTGTCACCCAGGCTGGAATGCGGTGGCACCACCTCCGCTCACTGCAACCTCTGCCTTCCTGGTTCAAGCGATCCTCTCACCTCAGTCTCCTGAGTAGCTAGGACTACAGGTATGCACCACCATGCCCAGCTTATTTATTTATTTATTTATTTATTTATTTATTTATTTAGAGATGAGATCTTATGATATTGCCCAGGCTGGTCTCAAACTCCTGGGTTCAAGGGATCCTCCTGCGTTGGCCTCCCAAAGTGCTGGGATTACAGGCATGAAGCACCCCACCCACCCTACCTTGTTAGTTTACTGAAAACCACTTAAAATGGTGAGTTTGATGGTCCATGAATTATATATCAATTTTTTTTTTTTGAGACAGAGTCTCACTCTGTCGCCCAAGCTGGAGTGCAGTGGCACAATCTTGGTTCACTGCAACCTCCGCCTCCTGGATTCAGGCAATTATTCTGCCACAGCCTCCCGAGTAGCTGGGACTACAGGCACCCCCCACCACACCCAGCTAATTTTTGTATTTTTAGTAGAGACAGGGTTTCACCATGTTGGCCACGCTGGTCTGGAACTCCCGACCTCAGGTGATCCACCCACCTTAGCCTCCTAAAGTGCTGGGACTACAGGTGTGAGCCACCACGCCCAGCAAATTATATCTCAATTTTTAAAAAAGACAAACTAACTTAATCCAAGTTGACTTTGTCAAGCTTCTAATTCAAGCATATATATCAATTGTAAAAAGACCTTTTATAAACAACTTAGAAAATTTGAATATGCCTTGGGTATATGATAGTAAGAAGATAATCATTTTCCTGGGTTTGCTAAGGACAGTGTGATTATGTTTTAAGAATCCCTTTATTGCTGGGCGCAGTGGCTCACACCTGTAATCTCAGCACTTTGGGAGACCGAGGTGGGTGGATCACTTGAGGTCAGGAGTTCGAGACCAGCCTGGCCAACATGGTGAAACCTCGTCTCTACTAAAAATACAAAAATTAGCCGGGTGTGGGGGCGCATGCCTGTAATCCCAGCTACTCGGGAAGCTGAGGCAGGAGAATTGATTGAACCCCAGAGGCAGAGGTTGCAGTGAGCCGAGATCATACCACTGCACCACTCCAGCCTGCATGACAGAGCGAGACTCAGTCTCAAAAAAAAAAAAAAGCTGGACGCCGTGGCTCACGCCTGTAATCCCAGCACTTTGGGAGGCCGAGGCAGGCAGATCATGAGGTCAGGAGATCGAGACCATGGTGAAACCCCATCTCTACTAAAAATACAAAAAAATTAGCCAGGCGCGGTGGCGGGCACTTGTAGTCCCAGCTACTCAGGAAGCTGAGGCAGGAGAATGACGTGAACCCGGGAGGCGGAGCTTGCAGTGAGCCCAGATCGCACCACTGCACTCCAGCCTGGGTGACAGAGCAAGACTCCATCTCAAAAAAAAAATAAAAAATAAAAAAAATAAAAGAATGCGTTTATTTTTCATATGACTAAATTATTTAGAGGTAAAATTACATGATCAGTGATTTGCTTAAAAATTGCCCGCCCGGAAAAAGTACTGGCAAAATGTTGATAATTGTTGAACCTGGGTAACGGGTACATGGAGGTTCATTATACCACTCTTCCCTTTTGTGCCTATACAAAAATCCCAAGATGAATTTTTTAAATTGAATTATCAACATTTCCAAAGTCTGGCTACTCGGCTTCCTCTGTAAATGAGGAAGGCCTGGCGGCGTGGAGCCTGTGCTCCCTCAGGGCCACGTGGGAGAAGAATGGAGTGCCCCTTTGGCCTGGGAAGGAAGTAGGCAGAGCCCAGGTCTGGGGAATGACTTCTTACCTGCTGCAGCTCATACTCGGTGGAGAATCGTCGTGTCACTGCCTGGATGAGGTTGGAGAAGGAGAACGAGCCACCACCATAACTGCAGGGAGGGAGAGAGGTGAACTGTGAGGGAGGCCGGGAACTAAGGAGGCTCATCCTCACACCTACTGGGTAGGGAGCCATGATTATAGAGGAGATGAAATGACACGCCCTGGGAGACCCCACTAGGATGTGGGGGAGTCACAGCTTGAACACAGGTCTGACTGCCGAGTTCCTCACTCCCCTCTCTTCTGGAGAATACGCCCACACGCCACGTTTTCCTTCCAAATGGGAAAAGGGACGGCCCATACCCCAGCTTGTCTTTCCATTCCTGCCCCACCCTAGCCCCCAGGCTTGGCTGATTTTTGTCCACTTCTGGTTAGTGCCCCCGGCGTGTCTTACCCGCACAGGCCACCCCCCGGGGCCCCAGCCTCGGCGCTCGCTGTCCCTGACACCCATTCCACAGACTCACTCGTTAAAAAGCTTCTTCCAGTTGCTCTGGACAAAGTCCCAGACCAGACCTTGCCCAATGACGTTGTTGGTAATGCTGATGATGGTAGAGGTGGCGTCCTGCTTCCGGATTAAGTCCGGGTTCAGGGTGTAGCTCAGGTACCTAAGAGGGCCAGATGCTGTCTCAGCTACTGCTAATTCAGGTGACTCAGGAGAGAACTTGGACTGTCCCACGCACATCACCTATGCCTGCATCCTCTCAACATCCCCTCGGCCTGCCAGGGGCTGAGGGACCCCTTGGTCCTTCTTCCCTCTATAGATGGAAAACTGAGTCACCTAAGCAGGGTCACAGGGTCACTGGCTAAGCTAGTGTCATGCCTGACATAGAAATATTTGACAATGAATCAATGAAGGAAGGAGTCCTAGCGCCCCAAGCCCTGGCACCAGGTGGGTGGTCACTCCCGTCTTTGACACTGAGGGTGGCCCTTCTTTTCTTTTCTTTTCTTTTCTCTTTTCTTTTCTTTCGAGACGGAGTCTCACTCTGTCGCCCAGGCTGGAGTGCAGTGGAGCGATTTGGGCTTACTGTAACCTTCGCCTGCCAGGTTCAAGTGATTCTCCTGCCTCAGCCTCCCGGGTAGCTGGGATTACAGGCATGTGCCACCATGCCTATTTTTTTTTTTTTTTTGTATTTTTAGTATTTTTAGTAGAGACGGGGTTTCTCCATGTTGGCCAGGCTGGTCTCGAACTCCTGACCTCAGGTGATCCATCCACCTCAGTCTTCCAAAGTGCTGGGATTACAGGTATGAGCCACCACACCCTGCCCAAGGGTGGCTCTTCTTTACTGCATCCAGGTAATGGCATATGAGGCACATGGTGGGAGGTGGGGACCCTCATCCAAGGGCTTGAGGGGGTGCCCAGCTGGATGTTTGAAAAGACCCAGGTCCAGCTACACCAGAGCCTTTGACAGAAGGGAAGACGAGTTGTTGTCAGGTAAAGGCTAAGAGGCCACAGCAGCTAGGAACAGAGGACATGGACCCAGACCTGAGTCCATATCTTGTCTCTATCACTTATTAAAGCTTCCAGTCTGCACCGGTTACTTTGGAAATACTGCCTCCACCTCAACAGGTCTGTGGGGGTCACGTGAAGGATCTGGCGAGGAGTGTGGAGGCCTGCCTGGTTCTCCAGGTGGGGAGAGGGCTCTCGCAGTCCCACCCTGCGCCAAGACTCACCTGTTCAGGATCCACAACTCTTTGCTGCAGGCCAGGGCTGCCCGGAGCTTGTCAGCCTCATTGACCAGTGTGGCATTTCGGAACTGCTCCCAGGCGAAGTCCCACTCCTCCTCCCCGCCCTGGGCGATAGCGTTGCAGTAGACGGTGGACCGCAGGTTGGGGTGGATCCTGGTGTGGGGTAGGGAGGTCAGGTGTGGAACAGCAGCGGGGAGGGTGGGACAGGGTTCTGCTGAGGACGGGGCTGTTGGGGGCAGATGAAGACTGGCAGAGGAGGCGCAGGGGAGACACTCACGGGTTATTATTGGGGTTCTCCATCCACTGCTTGAAAAGGCCAGAGACCATCTCCTCACACTCTGGAACTCCGTTGGAGCAGGCGGTGCTGATGGCATTAACCTCGCTGTACCTGCCCCAGGGGTGACACGCGGTTAGCACACCTGGCGAACTCCAGCCAAGATTCACCTCTTGACACACAACCCCAGGCCGGCACCCTGCCTAAGGCTCTGTGGCCTAACTGGCCCTCTGACCCCCGCTGTATGTGCTTTGTGCCTTGGGCCTGAGGTTCCTTGGTCCCCAAAGCAGCCCTGTGACCCAGAAGGGCAGGAACAGGCTCCAGCCCCAGTTTCAACACCTAGAAACTGTATAACCTCAAGCCAGTGGGGTGAGCTAGAGTTTCAGTTTGGGTCTTTGTATAAAGAGGTCCGATGGGC
Source organism: Homo sapiens (assembly GCF_000001405.40). Classification (NCBI taxonomy): domain Eukaryota; kingdom Metazoa; phylum Chordata; class Mammalia; order Primates; family Hominidae; genus Homo; species Homo sapiens. The sequence goes on from NC_000015.10 coordinate 89,792,867, forward strand.
CCTCAGGCCACATGGAGCCTCAGGGCAGGACCTCCCTGCTCCTGGGTGGGGGTCTCTCCCTGCCTGGTGCCCCCGCATTGAGAGCTGCGGCAGAGAACACTGCCAGGATGTTGCTCTTGACTCCCCGGGGTGCCCAGGACTTCCAAACCCATGAGAGCTCCCACTCACTGGTCCATCAGGTTTTCTGGGATCTCCCTCCAGTTGTTGGTATTATTTCTGAAGTGAATGAAGAGGGGTGTGACCTGCTTCTTCAGGTAGTTCTGGGGAAAAGAAAATATGAATCTCATCAAAGACTCATGCCTGACCTGCCTGGAGCCCCACAGAGCCTCTGATGTTGGGGGGCAGGCGCTGGCAGAGACGTCAGAGGTCAGGGCCTCACCTGAGGCCAAACAGTGCTCAAAGGGGCCCATAGAAGTCTAGAGTTCAAATAACTGAGCTGAGTTTCTTTCTGCTTAAAGCCTTAGTCAGTTGCAATATTCTTTGTCTACGGGTCACCATTTCTTAATATAAAATGTTGGGTTTTCCCTACACAATCATAAATATTCCATGAGTTGCTGGGCGCAGTGGCTCACACTTGTAATTCCAGCATTTTGAGAGGCTGAGGCGGGTGGATCCCCTGAGTCCAGGAGTTCGAGATCAGCCTGGGCAACATGGTGAAACCACGTCTCTACTAAAACCACAAAAAAATTAGCCGAGTGTGGTGGTGCACACCTGTATTCCCAGCTACTTGGGAGGCTGAGGCAGGAGAATCGCTTAAACCCGGGAGGCAGAGGTTACAGTGAGCTGTGATCACGCCACTGCACTCCAGCCTGGGTAACAGAGCGAGACTCCATCTCAAAAAAAAAAAAAAAAAAAAATTCCATGACTTATTGTAGGGAATTTGGGAAACACAGAGAAGTATATGCAGAAAATAAAACACACCCAGGAGCTCACCAAAACTACAGTTTCCACATTGATGCATTTACACCTTCTTTTTTCTATAGTTTTTTCTTTTTTACTTAGCATATTCTTCACATGGCATTTTTCTCCTAACATTGTAGTGTAAGCCCCACCCCATGCTAGTAAAATCCTTTGTGGACTCTGGTTTGACATGGCAGGTTGATTTCTGTGCCCACCTGGATCCACGTCCAAATGTAAAAGGAATAAACCCCCAATAACAAAGAACAGGAGAGGCAACAGCGGATGCAAGGTCAATATAGTTTAGGCAGCTGGGACGCGCAGAAAGGGAGATGTACCAGGCTTGGCAGAGTGGGAGAATTTGCAATTGAGAATCTGCAGAAGGGGAGACAGAAGCAAGGGAACTTGCTGTGACAAGACTCAGAATTAAAGGGACAAGGCCAGGTATGGGGGCACATGCCTGTAATCCCAGCACTTTGGGAGGCTGAGGCGGGCGGATCACCTGAGGTCAGGAGTTTGAGACCAGCCTGGCCAACGTGGTGAAACCCCGAAGCTACTAAAAATACAAAAATTAGCCAGGCATGGTGGCAGGCGCCTGTAATCCCAGCTACTCAGGAGGCTGAGGCAGGAGAATCGCTTGAATCTGGGAGGTGGAGGTTGAAGTGAGCCAAGATCGGGCCACTGCGCTCCAGCCTGGGTGACAGAGTGGGATTCTGTCTCAAAAATAAATAAATAAATAAAAATAAATAAAAAAATTAAAGGGACAAGTCAGCAAGGGACAGAGGGGAGGTAAGGACTGCAAACAGGAAGATGAAGTCAAAGTCTACAGAAGGAGTCATTCAACCCCCAAGTCCCCACTTCCCTCCTTGTAGAGGGCAGCACCCCTCACCACCCCATGAGAGAGATTGAACCAGGGGGCTCAGAAAGTGGGGTCACCAGACCACAGTGGGAGGGTTGCTGGATTGCAAAGAGGGTCAGAGGTGAAAGTTTCCATACTGAAAGGTGGCACCCCAGTTCCCTTCCCTCCTGTGTCCTAGAATGGGAGTACTACCAGCCTCATTGCACAATACAGAGGCTTACTCTCTGGAAAAACTGCCTTGTCTCGAGAGAACAAACCCATGGACTAATTTTTGAGGGTCCCCAGTGAAGAGTTACTTGGCCACCCAGTCACCTCGCAATGAGATCCCCCGGACAACACACTCCACCTTCCCATGGAGCTTCCACTTGCATTTTGTTTGTGTCTGTCTCAAACCCAAAGGGGTGGCTCAGCCTCCAACTTGAAAAGAGGCCAAAACAAACACAAAACTCAAGAGGAAACGAGTCAATGGAAAAAAAAAAAAAAAGGAAAACTTCATAAGAGCCTGTAATAAATATCCTCTGAGAGTGAAGAGAAGATATTGCATAGGATGCTGGAATCAGAAAGAACACTTGGAAATTTAAAAATACGACAGAAGAAATGAAAACAATTTCTAGGTGAGGTGGTGTGCAAAGCTGAGGGAACCTCCCAGGGGGCAGAATAAAAAGTCAACAAGCTGGAAAACAGAAGAGAAAAAGAAAACTAGAGGATGAAAGCAAGAGAAATAAGCTGGATTACAGGGGTTCCAGAAAGAGATAACTGGAAAAAGTGAAGGGAATAAAGTTTAAAGAAGCAATACAAAATCTTCCAATACTAGATGATGTGAATGCCAGTCCTGATTGGAAAAGGTAGATGGAGACGAGGCCCAAACCAAGGCCCACCAGGACCGAGAGAAGCTCCCAAAGTTTCCAGAAGGGAGGAAAACTGGTCACATTCAAATAACTGGAAATAAGAATGGCTCTGGGCATCGCATCAGCAACATGGCAAGCCTGACATCAGTGGAGCAAGACCTTAAACATTCAGAGAAATAATTTCCCACCTTGAAACTTCTAAACTCAGCTGAACGCTCAATCCAGTGTGAGAGTGGAATAAAGACATTTCAGATGATCTACCCCAGAAAAGTCACCTCTCATGAACCCTTTCTCAAAAACTCCTGGAAGATGTATTCCCCTATGAGAGGGGAAAAAATCAAAGAATCCATGGGATGCAGGAAACACAGTAGAGGGAGGCACCTCCAAGCATGGGAGCTGTGTGGCAGCTCTGGAAGAGAGCAGGCAGAATAGGACTCCAGGAGGAGTCCAGTCTCAAAACTGGGCTGGGCACAGTGGCTCACGCCTATAATCATAACACTTTGGGAGGCCAAGGAGGGAGGATTGCTTGAAGCCAGGTGTTCCAGACCATCCTGGCCAATACAGAAAGATCCCATCTCTACAAAAGATGCATCTCTACAAAAGAGCATGGTGGTGCACATCTGAGGTCCCAGCTAATGGAGAGACTGAGGCAGGAGGATCCCTTGAGCCTAGGTATTTGAGGCTGCAGTGAAGCTTGATTGCACCACTGCACTCCAGCTTGGGCAAGAGAGTGAGACCTTGTCTCTAAACAAACAAACAAAAACTTGACCTATTGTGTGATACATTTGTAACTGTGTACAAAAAAGGAAACATAAACATAGTGCTCTACATGGCTCAGCAGAGAATACTATTTAGATAATCACAATAAAGCAAATGCTTAACACTGATTTGACTAAATATTATGATTTAACTACATTAGGAGGATGGGGAATGTGGGGAAAGCAGTAAGAGGGTTGAAACTTCATTTACCAAAATCTCTCATTTACCATAATGGATATTAACAGATAATTGAACTTTTTTTTTTTCTTTTTTTTTGAGATGGAGTCTTGCTCTGTTGCCCAGGCTGGAGTGCAGTAGCACCATCTTGGCTCACTGCAAGCTCCACCTCCCAGGTTCATGCCATTCTCCTGCCTCAGCCTCCCGAGTAGCTGGGACTACAGGTGCCCGCCACCACGCCTGGCTAATTTTTTGTATTTTTTTTTTTTTAGTAGAGACGAGGTTTCACCGTGTTAGCCAGGATGGTCTCGATCTGCTGACCTCGTGATCCGCCTGCCTCGGCCTCCCAAAGTGCTGGGATTACAGGCATGAGCCCCACTGCACCCGGCCTGATAATTGAACATTTTTTAATGAAAAAAGATCTCTTCAAGCATGATTTAATGACTACATATCACACCCTGAAATGGATATTCTACAGTTTAACCAATCTTCAACCTTTAGACGTTTAAGTATTTGTGTTTTGTTTGCTTTTTGTCTTTTATAAACTGCTGCAGTGAGCATCCTATGGATGTAGCTTATTCATCCAGAATAAGCTCGAGTTTCCTTTTGGTCTCCCAAGCGGGAGCCTCAGCCCTCAAATAGGCCCCTATGCTCAGCCTTAAGATACTCCAAAGCAGCCAATACCCACATCTCTCTCATAGCGCAGGTGGGCTGGCCGGGCAGGTAGAGGCCTGCCCATCTGACAGAGAAGTTAACTGGGTCTGAGAAAGGGTTGCCCAAGGCCACACAGCTGGCAAAAGACAGGTCTTCTGGCCCTCAGCATGGTGGCCTTTTCTGTGCCTTCTGAAAGCGTTAATTCCCCATATTTCAAATCAACAAACGTTGCTGAAGTCTCCGCGACCTTTATTGTTTTGCCCCACGCAGCCTCCTCACTCACCTCCTCAGTGCCTGCTCACTCACCTCCATGTCCCTCCGGCTCGCTCTTTCACCTGCGTGCTCTCAGGAGAGAACCTGACAAGGCAATCTTTCTTTTTTTTTGGTTTTTTGTTTTGCTTTTGAAGGTTCCCTGACCAGGAGTCCAGTAGGCAATAGTCTATTAACTTCCTAATAGTGCACTTTCAGGCACTGGGGCGAACTGGTTCTTGAACCCTACCATGCACCTCCGTACCTTCATGGGGCCATAGACCTCGGAGCGGTCAAACATGAGCTTGAAGTAGCTCAGGCTGCTCAGGGCGGCCTCCCAGGGCATGTACTGTCTCTCTTCAATCAGGAAGAGGGTGTTGTTCAGCGCCAGAGTGACAGGGACCTTATGGGCACTGGGAATAAACAGAGGGGCCCAAGTAAAGCACCTCCACCCAGCCCAGCCACAGCCTGGGAACCCCAACCCAGGCCCTCAAAGATGCTCCACACCCCTAGGCCCCCTGTATCCACTCCTGGAGCCGGAGGTCCCAGATTCCCAACTGAGCCAGCTCAGGCATTTGCCATGGAAAAAGAGCTACATGGCTGCTGGGTGGTGCCACAAACAAGGCCCCACCCTCACCCATTGGCAGTTCCACTCCTTTGCTTATTATCCCCATTTTACAGATGAGGAAACTGAGGCTCAGAGAAGTGAAGTGACTTGCCCAAGGTCACACACCTCACGAGAGACAGAGCTGAGATTTAAAAGGGCAAGAAGCCCGTGTTCTTAACTCTGACCACCTCTTCTGACTTTCTGGGCACTCTAGGCCTTTCTTCCTCCTGCCTTCTGTACACATTTAGCTCACAAATGTCCTTGTCTGTGGGTGACATCACTCATGTCCAAGAGCTTAGAGTACCTCACCCCAAACAGAGTAGGTGCTCAATAAGTACCTGTTTATCCATACTGCATCCCTCCTGCCCTGTCCAGCCCAGATTTTTGGCACTTAGAACAGTGGCCCAGCATAGTCAGCCTTCAGGAAAAGCTTGGTGCAGCTGGGCACGGTGGCTCACACCTATAATCCCAGCTCTTTGGGATGGCAAGGCAGGTGGATCACCTGAGGTCAGGAGTTTGAGACCAGCCTGGTCAACATGGTGAAACCCCATCTGTACTAAAAATGCAAAAATCAGCTGGGCATGGTGGCACATGCCTGTAATCCTAGCTACTCAGGAGGCCGAGAAGGGAGAATCGCTTGAATCTAGGAGGCAGAGGTCGTAGTGAGCCAAGATCACGCCACTGCACTCCAGCCCGGGTGACAGAGCAAGACTCCATCTCAAAAAAAAAAAGCGGGGGGGCATGGCCAGGTGCCATGGCTCATGCCTGTAATCCCAGCACTTTGGGAAGCCGAGGTGGGTGGATCACAAGGTCAGGAGTGCGAGACCAGCCTGACCAACATGGTGAAACCCCATCTCTACTAAAAATACAAAAATTAGCTGGGCATGGTGGTGCACACCTGTAATCCCAGCAACTCGGGAGGCTGAGGCAGAGAATCGCTTGAACCTGGGAGGTGGAGGCTGCAGTGAGCTGAGATCGCGCCACTGTACTCCAACCTGGGCAACAGAGCGAGACTCCGTCTCAAAACAAACAAACAAACAAACAAACAAACAAAAACAAAAACAAAAAGCTTGGTGCTGTGGAGTAGAGGATGGCTTTGGAGTTGGACAAGCCTCTGTCTGGCTGTCATGAACTACTGTGTGACTTCGGGCAAGGTGTCACATTCTTCATCTGTGAAATGGGTGTGTGGGGACCCAGGGAGGGACGTCCAGGGAGCACAGGAGCTCAGGGCACAGCACGTGGCATATGGGAAGGGCAGCAGGAGGAGCAGGGGCCCTCATTGTGGACTCAGACTTGCTGAAGTCACGAGCTTCTGCAGCTGAGCCAGGCAGCGGAGCACTCACCTGGCCAGGTTGAAGGCGTCATTAATGATCTGTGCCCGATTGATGACAGGGATGGCCTAGAATGCGAAGCACAGCATGTGACCATGGGTTGGCTGTGGGTGGCAGGCCTTGCAGTCTGGTGCCTGTCCTGGGGCAGGGGGCAGGGCGAGGGGTGGCAGACACTCACCGAGTGGTCTCTCTGCAGCTGAGTCTGAATCTTCCTCCAGTTCTCTTCGTCGTAGTTCACCCGGTAATAGCCCGTCACATTGAGGTTCAGCAGGACCCACTCATTGCCTGATGTGCTGAAGAGATCGTTCTGGGCTGTGGAGAGGGACGAGACCTGGGCAGGGCTGCTCAGAGGCCATGGGCTGACCCCTGGACCTCTTGCAAGAGCAGCTGCCCCCGCAGCCTGGCACCACCTCACCCTCAAGCTGCTGGGGAGACGCTAAGGGTGGGGAAGGAAGGGATGAGGAACTGGGCTGCCAGTGGCTTCACAGACCATCAACCCATGAAGATGACATGCCACCCCAAACCTCAGAACCTGCCCTGCCTCCCTAGGCTCTGCACGGCCAGGCCAGCTGCCAGGCCGCTCACACTCAGCAATCCAGGCTGTTCCTCCTCCTTGCCCTCCTCCACACTCCATCACACCTGTCACCCAAGTGGGAACCACAGGCAGCTCCTCCTCTCCCTTCCCCTCCCATTCACCCAGACCCCCAGTGCTGCTGTCTCTTTCTGGGGCTTAGTGCCCCTTCCTCCCTGTGGGTCCCCCTCCTCCCTCACTCCTCTCATACTTTGTTTCAGCAGCCAGAGGTCAGGGCCAATAGGTTGCTCATTTCCCACCTGCCCCATCCACTGTCTCCTGCAGCCCCTGGGGCCCTTGGGGACCAGCTTTATCTCTTGGGCACACCTCTGCCCTAGCTACACTCAGTCCCCACACTCTCTCCTACCTCTATCCCTGGCACTTGCTATTCCCTTTGCCTGGAATTCTTTTCTCTGCCACATTAGCCTGTCTGATTCCTACTCTTCCTCTAAGACTCAGCTCACCTCCTCCGGGAAGCCCTCCCTGACCTCTCCATGAACTTGAATCTCCCTTATTCCCTGCTCCATGTCCCCATACCTCACTAGCCCCAACCATACACTCTGAAAGCACTCAGCACAGCACTAGAATGCCTCCAACTTCTTGCCTTCCTTCATCTGTAGCCTTGGCCAAGGCAAAGGATGACTTGTCATGCCCTTCGCTTCTTCAGTGCCTTGCTGAGTAGGGCTGCTCATAACATGTGCCAGGCACTACTTTAAGCATTTTATGTGGATTCTCTCCTTTTTTTTTTTTTTTTTTTTTTGAGACAGAGTTTCGCTCTTGTTGCCCAGGCTGGAGTGCAATGGTGCGATCTTGGCTCACTGCAACCTCTGCCTCCCAGGTTCAAGCAATTCTCCTGCCCCAGCCTCCAGAGTAGCTGGGATTACAGGCATGCACCACCACACCTGGCTAATTTTGTATTTTTAGTAGAAATGGGGTTTCTCCATGTTTGTCAGGCTGGTCTCGAACTCCTGACCCCAGGTCGCCTCGGCCTCCCAAAGTGCTGGGATTACAGGCATGAGCCACCATGCCTGGCCTAGGATTCTCTCCTTTAATCCTCACATAACTAATGGAGTATTGCTCTTAGCCTCATTTTATAGAAGAGGAACTAGAGACCAGAGCGGGATGGTAACTTGCCCAGAGTCACACAGCGAAGCAGCAGCAAAGTGGAGATTGGAACCAAAGAAGTCAAGTCCATTTGTTGAATGGAATGGCCCATCACAGCCCTCAGAACATGGGCCAGGAGCTAGGAGTATGGGGTGGGGGCTGCTGCCCATAAGGCAGGGCTGGATTACCTCTTACATCTATCAGCCAGTAGTCCTGCTGCTGTCTGCCATCTCTGATGGATGTGATGGGCACAATCCACACGTAGCTGCAATTAAAGATCCAGAGGTGGTGAGAGATGGCGGTGTGGTCACTGCCAGTGAGGAGCAGCTGCCCAGGCTCCCAGCTTCTGCCCAGCTCTGGCACCGAGTGCCCCTGAACTCCTGGCTCTGGAGGGAGGGTCTGTCTACAGTGGCTGGGGCTGGGACCACAGGAGGCCAGTCCTACTATGGTCCCTTAGTAACTGCCCTCTACCCCACCCACCTGACCATGCCTCAGTGACCCCATCTGCTCACTTGAATTCTGAGGGGCGGGTAACATTGGAATCGGGGTCAAGGAGGAAGTGCTCCTGGGAAAGGGTCCCCGTGCTGGTATCCACCGTGATGACCGGGAAGCCCATCTGCAGGGTCCAGCGGTTCATGATGTCCCGCACGGTGGTGGGGAGTTGGATGGACCGGTTGTTCACAGCCTGTGGGTGGAGCGAGAGGGCGTGGCCATCAGTGGGACCCTCCAGTCCCTGCCATCCAGGGCATCTCCTGCAGATTCTCGCCTCGACCCCGGGGGGCCACTTGTATGGGAGGCCTGGGAAGGGCACTGGGCTGGGAGCCGGGAGCCAGGGTACCGTCCAGCTCTGCCTCTCCTCGGCTGCTCAGTGCTGGACGAGCTGGAGAACTTCCCAGCAAATCTATGAGGCCCTCCATTCTGTGGTCCACCCTGAGGTGTGTATGTCAGGGAGGGGGTGCCCAGGATGCCCATGGCTCTTCCTGAACAACACTGGGAGGAGGACAAGAAAGAGGAGACAGAGATGAGAGAAAGCCAGTGTTCAGGTGTCACAGGCAGGGGTGGGGGACGGGGCCCTGGGGGTCGCATGAGGGAAGTGCACTCGGACTGGGGTGTGGGGCGGGACTCAGGGGCACTGTTGTTGTCTTCTTGTCTTCTTGGATCTTTGCTCATGCACCTGCCTTGCCTTTGTCATCACAACAGAAAGCCAACCCCATTTGTTAATAACTGAAGAAAGGAATCACCTAAGAACGGGGCCACACAGAGGGCAGAAGAGCATGTGGGGAGGAACCAGCTGGGGGCTGCCGGCCGAGGGTCTCAGGAAAGAGGAGTGAGAGGGAGGAGAGCTTGGCTTAGGAGGGAACGCAAAGGGGAAGTTGGGGCAGGGCAAGGAAGGTAGTGGGGGAGACCCAGGCAATGACAGTGTCATTTTGTCAGCAGCATCTTGGGGTCTAGGGGGTTGGAAATTGCCCAGCAGGGACCCGGACCTCAGCTGTGACTCTGTGACAAGATCCTGGGTCTCGCTTCCCTGGTGAGACAGGCCTGGACTGGAAGTGCAGCAGCAACAGTGGGGTAGAAGCTGGACGGGAATTTGAGGCTCGGAACTCTGGAGGGGCTGTCGGTGAGGAGAGGACATGTCTGTCCTCTGGCTTAAGACGCTAGCATTGGGCAGAGCTGCAGGGAAGGGGTAGGGGGCAGCTGTCAGGGAAATGATGTCAGCGGAAATGATGGGGGCAGGATGGAGAGGAGGTGGACTCCAACCCTGGGGGAGGGAGAGGAGCGGCGGCCTCTGGGGGAAGGCAGGAGGGTGTGGCAGTCTGGGGATCTGCCCTACAAACAGGGGCTGTGCGGGGTCTGATGGAGAGGAACTCGAGCCGGGGCAGGGGCAGAGGGCAGAGTTCCTGCTGAGGGTGGTGGAGCTGTGTGCAGAGACATGCCCGTGGCGCCAGCGGGGGGCACAGGGCAGCCAGGAGTGGGGAGAAGGTTGAATGTCAGGCTCCAGAGTTCCAGGCAGAGGCGGGAACCATGAGGGCAGTTTCCTCACCACCAGGAAGGGGCTCTACAGCTCCCATCAAGAAGCCCGCTGTAGCCTGAGGTCAGCTGCTGGCCAGGACCTCAACCACAGCCTCACTCAGACACCTCTTGCAAGGAGCCATCCCGGCTTCCACTATAGGGAGGAGCAACAGAGGCTCCATCCACCCTGCAGGGCTGGTCAGCCGCGGAGCTGGACCCATTCTCTTACGCATGTGCTGCCCCCAGGTACCTTCAGCATCTCAAGACCCCAACAGGATGGCTGTGGAGGGGCTGGCTGCTACTGACCTCCTGCAGGTGGTCCCACAGGTTCAGGTAGATGGTGTTCTGGTAGGCAAAGGTGTGGAGGTAGGACTGTGGAAAGACGGGGCACAGTGAGAGCACAGCTGGAGCCCCCCAGGCTCCCCCTCTGTGGTGGGCAGAGGCCCGGGTCAAGGGCGAGGGGCAGAAGGAGACCCACCCTCATGGCTGGCCCAGGGTGCAGTACTCACCGCCAGGCCCTGCTTGAATACGTCCTCGGACAGGAAGCTGGAGAGCATCCTGAGGACTGAGGCGCCCTGGGGTGGGGGTGAGGGGGCGCTCAGAAGGCTGTGCAGAGCCACCAGGACCCTGTGCCCCCAGACCCTGCCTTCAGTGAGGCCCCTCCAGGCCAAGTCCCCACCTCCTTCCCCGTGCCCCACGAGGAGCGGGCTGCACCTTGCTGTAGGAGATGGCGTCAAACAGCTCACTGATCTGGGCCGGCGTGTTGATCTCCGAGGCGGGTGTGGACAGCGGGTGGGAGGAGGCCAGTGCATCCACTGCCATCACGCGGTACACATCATTCAGCACCATGAGGTCTTTCTGCAAATTCCCCAGGGCCATCAGGAGACTGGCCTGGTAGCGGTGGCCCAGGTCTCCCTCCATGCCCCCCGCACCAGACCCCTGGGCAGCTGGCTTACCAAGTTCCAGGTGGGCTCCGCATAGTCAGCACCCAGGTACTCCACGTAGGAGGCGAAGCCCTCGTTCAGCCACAGGTCATTCCACCACTCTATGGTCACCAGGTTCCCGAACCACTGTGGGGGGAGGGGTCAGCTGGGCAAGCCACGCCCAGGCTGGGCACTGAGAATCCCCAGAACTACCCTCCCCAGGGCTGGCCATCTGCCAGGCACAGTGGGGATTTCAACACCATCGTGACCCCTTCCTGCTGCCCTGCCAGGCGGCACCCTCCTCCCTTCTCAGCAGCCCGGGGCAGAGCCTGGACTTGCGCCGTCTCCTCTCGGAGCCCCTGTTTCCTTCTCCGCACTCCCCGAGATGGGGGTCTACCTGGTGGGCCAGCTCATGAGCAATCACAGTGACCACCCGCTCCTTGTTGCTGCTGGAGGAGGACAGGGGGTCGAACAGCAGGGAGTTCTCCCGGTAGGTCACCAGTCCCCAGTTCTCCATGGCGCCGGCGTTGAAGTCTGGCAGGCCAATCTGGTCTGGGGAGGCGATGCCATTGGCAGGATGAACTCCGGGAGTGGAGCTCCATCCACTGCCTCCCTCCTCAAGGACCCCCACTCACCTGATTTTGGGAGTGGGTAGGGTGTGTCATAATGACCAGCAAAGAAGTTAAGGATGGGGCCCGTCACGTTCAGGGCATAATCGCCGTGGCCCGCCGCAATGGCACTGGGCCGGGCCCAGATCCGGATCTGCAAGGTGTGAGGAAGAAGCAGACCAGGGGCTCCTGTTTGATCCTGGGGCAGGTGGGCTGGGTCCCAGGGCCCAGTGGGCTGGGGGGATCCCTGATGGGCCAGGGCTGGAGGCCAATCAAGCTAAACCTAGAGGCCTGGTCAGCAGAGGGGAACGCTACTGGGGTCTGGAGGCTGTGGGTCCTAGAGAAGGGCCTTTGGAGAATAACAATCATCATAGCCACCGTCTGTCTGGTAACCGGTGGGTCAGGAACTCCCTTCATGAAGAGAAACCATTGTTTTCATTTTTCAGGTGCAGAAATGGAGAACCAGAGAACAAGACACTTGCCTGAAATCACTCAGAGGTGGGATTCCAACCCTGGCCTAACAATTCAGAAACTGGCACAGGGATGAAGAGAACGGGAAGACCCCTCAAGCCGGGGCCAGCCCACGTGAAGGAGAGATGGGCCCAGCCTCATACCAAGACACCATTGGATGCCTGCTTCTCCACGTAGTCGAACTCACTGACAATGAAGGCCAGCAAGTACGTGGACATCTTGGGCGTGGTGTGGAACTCAGTGACATTCCAGTTGGGGTCTTCTGGAAGTGGGGTGCTGGGACCTGGGCAGGGAGCATGTGTGTGTGAGGACGTACCCTCCTGCCCCACACCCCAGCCCAGGGTGCCTGCCCCCTGGCCCTGTGGCCGCAGGCAGGGCCCACTCACCTTTGGGAAGCATGTTGGACAGGGCTGTCAGGTCCTTGGGGTGGATAAGCGTGATGTTGAACTCGGCCTTCATGGCCGGCTCATCGAAGCATGGGAAGGACTTCCGGGCATCTGCAGCCTGCATCTGTGTAGTGGCCACCACCCTGCCCCAACAGGAAGGTTAGAGGGTGTGCCAGAGCTGGGGGTGTGGGAGGGGCTCTGAGGATGCTACCAGGCATGCAGGGAAAGGGGTACATGGAAGGCTGCCCCAGCCTAACCCCTGCTCCTGCTCCCACCCCCGCCTCGCCGGGAGCCTCCGGAGCCCTGCCAGGCCAGCTGACTCGTGGGGGTTGGGGCTCCTTCTGGATTCGGGGTGCCAGCAGGCTCTCAGGGACCTCGGGTGAGTTTCTCTCCTCTGAGCCTCGGTTTTCCTGTCTGTCCAAGGGACGCTCTGTCCCTCATCCCCAGCTCCCTGGTGAGGGGTGGGGAAGCCCTCCCAGTTCGGTGCATTTGCAGCTGCTTTGCCAGCAGCTGGAGGTGAAGCAATGGGCCAGTCTCGGGCTCCACAGGGTTCAAAGGCCTGCAAGCTAAGTCCTTCCTTGGCCCTCAGAATCCAGCCTTGCCTCAGCACCTCGGATCCACCCCACCGGGCAGCCCAGCCGGAACTCACTTTCTGACATTGCCCTCCATGTACTCGCTGCGGTAGAAGCCCGCCAGGTCATCTGCCAACTCCCCCTCGAACTCGCTGTCCATCTCATACTGGCTGTCCTTCACCAGGGAGCCCTTGAGGTGCACCACCAGGTACTCGGTGGGCTCCACCAGCTCAGTCTTGTCAATGTCGGGGGGCTGGGAGCCTCCCACACCACGCAGGACCACCCTGTGCCCCTGGCTGAGGGTGTAGTTGAGCTTCTTGCTGTGGATGATGATGACGTCAGTGGCCTCCTTGCAGGTGAAACGGACGGTGCTGGAGCCCTTAAAAACGTACAGGCCCCTGTCATTGGGGGTGAGGTACGGTCTCAGCGTCACCCGGTAGGAATCGGGTTTCAGCGTGTTGGGGAGGCGGTAACGATTCCACGCTTTACTTTGGTCCAAGGTGGTGGCCGAGGCGGGGTTGGTGGTGGCTGAGGCGGACGGGGTGGTGGAGGCCACGGGGGAGCTGTTGGCGTTCTTGTTCTTCTCCTGGGAGTACACCACTGACAGTGCGATGATTGTGCACACGGCTGCCACGCCCAGGAGGATCCCCAGGATGCCCAGGGACTTGGAAATATAGAAGCCCTTGGCCATGGTGATGGTGGGGAGGCGGCTCAGGGAGCCTCAGGCCAGGCAGAGAACGGAGCAGCCCCAGGCCGGGCTTATATCCCCAAAGGGGAGGAGCCCCACAACAGGCAGACTGGGCAAAAATTAACCAGGGCTCCAACAGGCGAAGGTCACTGGACTGGGCAGGGGCACGCTCCGCCTGGGGAGAGGAGATCCAGGAACGGTGTGTGGAGCTGGGCTCGGGGGGTGCCTGCTGGAAGCAAACAGTGTCTGGTTACAGGCTGCAGGCGGCCTGGGATCAGGCCCGAGGGCTGAAGGGCAGGCTTCCGGCTGTAGGCCCAGTGGGCAAAGCAAGCGGCCAGGTGGCATTGCATTGATCTGCTTGAGAGCTGAGAGGGTGGGAACAGCATCAGAACTGAGGTTAGAGTCAGGGAAGGACTTCCCAGGGGCAAGAGGTGGGAGGTGCACAGAGAAGGGGTTCCCGGCTCCTATTAAGAACACACTGGGGTCACCCCTTTGGTTGCATCTCTGGAAGGATGCCAGGGGCTCCTCAGTGACAAGGTCCCAGCCTCCCTTGCATTCTTCAAGAGCAGGGAGTTCCTCCAGGTTCCCCTCCCTGCCGCTTCTTGCCAAATACTTTTTCCTCCATTATCAGCTCACGGAATAAAATGAAATGAGTTGTTTTGCTTTTTTTGCTGAAGGCTTCACCTCTTTCCAGCTGTGACCTTGAGCAGGTAACTTTACCCTTCTGAACCTCTCTCCTCATAAATAAATAACAGTATTTGCCTCTCAGGTTTGTTGAACAGATTTAGTGAGAAAACATATTAAACACCAAATAGTAGAATGATTAAAAATCATTCCCGGCTGGGCGTGGTGGCTCACGCCTGTAATCCTAGCACTTTGGAAGGCCGAGGTGGGTGGATCACGAGGTTAGGAGTTCAAGACCAGCCTGGCCAACATGGCGAAACCCCGTCTCTACTAAAAATACAAAAAAAATTAGTTGGGCGTGGTGGCGGGCGTCTGTAATCCCAGCTACTTGGGAGGCTGAGGCAGAGAATTGCTTGAATCCGGGAGGCAGAGATTGCAGTGAGCTGAGATCGCACCACTGCACTCCAGCCTGGGTGACAGAGTGAGACTCAAAAGAAAAAAGAAAAAAATCGTTCCCTTCTTTCTTACCCAAAGCTCAACAATTGCCTCTTTCTATCCTTGGTAGAAATGAAGATATTACTTACCATACAAAATAAAATACACACCTTACAGGAAAATTATGTTCATTGTCACTTTCCCCATCCACCAGCCCAGTTTCTCAGACCTCGACACCGCCTGACCTCACTCCACATCCAATTCACCCACATTCCCCCATCGCAAGATGCACTTGGTCAAAACCATTCTCATCATTTATGTGGACACAGCAGCGCCCCTATGGACTCCCTGCCTCCATTCGGGCCTGCTTGAACCTGCTCAACACAAATTGGATCATTTTATGCCACTGCTAAAAAAAACCTTCCTTTTGCTTGTAGAGTCCAGACCAGACCTTCTAAAGGCACCCACAAGCCCGGGTACAGTCAGCCTGCCCATTTCCTGGCCTCTTCCCCCCTGTTGCAGTACCCCAGCCACTCTGGCCTTCATCAAGCCCCAGGGCCTTGGCACAACCTGTTCCCTCTGCCTGGATCTTCTCTTCCCTATTGCCTTGGTTAATTCCTTTCCATCCTACAAGTCTTCCGCAGCGAAGCCGCCCTGACCTCCCTGACCAAGTCAAGCTCCTATGAGCTCCATTAGCTCCACAGACCTGTTCTGCAAAGCCCCAGAACTCAGCGTGGTTTTCCCTTTGATCTGTGTGGTGATAACTTGAGTCCTGGACTGCAGGCCCCATGACAGCAGGGCCTCACCAGCACTTAGCACAGTGCCTGGCACACAGTAGGTCCTCATTACTGAGATGTTGAGTGGATGCGCACATGCACGAAGGATTGAGTAAATGAATGAATGAGTCAGTCCAGGAGAAACTCCTTACCAAAGTCTTTCTGGCCTCTGTCTCCCAGCTTGTCCCCACCCCACACCTGCCCCCAGAAGAAGTGCCTGCCTCTTCTGAGCCCTTCTCCAAGCATGGCAGGCAGGCCGGACTCGTGCCAGGCCCCAGCATGTCAGGGCCCCACATGCCTTCCTGCTCCCTCAGCTCTGCTCCCTGAGGGCCTCACTCGTCTGCCACCCCTGCCACCCCTGCCACCCCTGAGCTTGCAGGAAGGCTTCTTAAATAAATGCAATGTGTGAACTGAAGGGACACGTGGATTAGTTCAATCAGGCATAAGCAAAACACAAATACCTGCCGCCTCTCGTCTGGTGTATGGAGGCCGAGTCTGAGCCCAGGGTCTTTAGGGGAGTCCTGGGTGCCCACCTTTGAGACTGAGGGTGTTCTGAGCCTTTGGCATTTCCCCAAGGGGCCTTGGTCTGGGACCAGGATGGACCTCCCACTGCAGTGACTAGCAGACACCCCATTAGGCTTGGGTGATGACCCCAAGGGGCAATCGTGCGAAATCAGGTGTCAGGAAGGGCTCCAGCTTGGGCGTGGTGAGAGAAGGAGCAGTGGCTCCCAGCACATGCTGCCAGGCTCCTCCCATCAGGGTGGATGGAATTCGCCAAGGGAGCCCATCTTTACAGCACCCCCCAGGCTGGCACTGGGGCACCATGCCTGCCCCTGAAAAGCCTTTTGATATGTCCCTGACGGAGCCTGCAGCCCCCTCCCACCTTTGCAGCAGAAAGACCCACAAGTCGGCCTGGACTAATCCCTTTTCTAAACAAAGAAAGAGGCCCTGCCTGGCCCACCATACTCTCTTCCTGTTTGCTTTGGATTCAGACCATAGGCCCAGCTGGCTGGAATCTTTACTCTTCTGGACAAGGCCTCTGGTCTTCCAAGTTGGTGCAGCAGGTAGCCCAAAGTTGGCTCTATAATGAGAGGTCCCTGCTCTAGGCACCAGGCCAACCCAGGCTGGGGGCACAGAGACAGCCATGCTCTGCAGCCCCCACCTTCAGGAACACACAAAAGGGCTTCCCTCGTCCAGTCCCCTGCCACAGCCCAGGCCTGGCCACCTCCACACCCCATCGGGCAGTGGCGGCTATGCTACCCTCCCCTGTCACCCAACCCCACCAGCACACGTCAGCAGAGGGCTCTGCCTAAGAGTGTGGGTGGGACTCTCCCATTCAAACCTGGTGCCCAACCTGCAGAGTGAAACCTTAACTCTGGCTTGGGCCTTAATACCTTCTGTGAACTTGACCCTCTGGCCTGTCCTCTTTCTACTGCCCACTGTGGCTCCAGCTGCCAGCGTCTCCCCAGATCATCGGGGCTTTTTCATACCTCTGTGACTTTGCTCATTCTGTTCCCACTGCCAGGAATGCCTTTCCTCTCCCTCTTGTCAAACTCCTACTCATCCTTCAAAACCCAACTCAATGTCACTGCCTTATCATGCACACCAGCCCCCACTCCCCTCTGCGCTTCCCCAGTCTCCAGTTCCCACCTCTATCACAGCACTTAGGAAAATGCCACTGAGGCTGAGCGCGGTGGCTCATGCCTGTAATCCCAGCACTTTAGGAGGCTGAGGTGGGCAGATCACGAGGTCAGGAGTTGGAGACCAGCCTGGCCAACATGGTGAAACCTCGTCTCTAATAAAAATACAAAAAATTAGCTGGGCATGGTAGCAGGTGCCCGTAATCCCAGCTACTCAGGAGGCTGAGGCAGGAGAATCGCTTGAACTCGGGAGGCAGAGGTTGCAGTGAGCCGAGATTGTGCCACTGTACTCCAGCCTGGGGGACGGTGTAAGACTCTGTCTCAAAAAATAAATAAATAAATAAATAAATAAATAAAAATACAAAATTAGCTGGACGTGGTGGCGCACGCCTGTAGTCCCAGCTACTTGGGGGGCTGAGGCGGAAGAATCGCTCGAACCCAAGAGGTGGAGGTTGCAGTGGGCGGAGATCGTGCCACTACACTCCAGTCTGGACGACAACAGAACGAGACTCTGTTTCAAAAAAGAAAAAAAAAAAAGAAAAAGAAAAATGCTACCAGTGTGTTCAAAAGCCTGCTGCTGCACCCAAGCACCTCAAAGGAAGGCCTGGTGGCATCGTATGCCCCTCCATGCCCAGCACAAGGCAGGAGCCCAATACATGTTGGCCAAATGAATGACAACACCCACAGTCCTTGCCGTGACCTACAGGGCCTGTGTGATCCAGCCCCCAGTGATTCTCTGGCCTCATCTCAAACGCTCTCCCCTGTCACTTCTGTGCTCCACCCCAGTGGCCTCTTTCAGTTCAAATCCAACCTGCTTTTCCCCGCTTCATTCTCCCTTCCTCCCTACACACAAGCTGATCCTTGGGCCTGGAAAGCTTCCTGCCTTTGCTTCATCCACTCCCCACTTGCCCTGGAGACACAAGTCAGTGGTGCTGCCCCCAGGCAGCCCTCCAAGTGCCTCCATGAGGGTAGCACCAGGTGTGCCGTATCCTCTACACCTGGCGTGCAGTGGGAGGGCAACACGTGCTTGTGGAATGGGGCATCAGTGCAAGAATGAGAGACAGCAGTTAAGGATGGAACTTCAGAGCCTTGATCCTCGGGACAGGTTCCACCCTCTCTACCCGACATTCCTTCCTGGGCTTCTGGGCTGTGCACAAACCACCTTCGTGATCCACCTTTGTGATTATTTACTTCGTATTTTTCTTTAAATCAATTCACTTTCTTAGCCTCCTTCTGAGCGATAAAATCATGGTTGGATGTGTTAATTTATATTAACAATTCATGACTATTGGTTTAAAAATTGTTCCTGGGCCGGGCGTGTTGGCTCATGCTTGTAATCCCTGCACTTCGGGAGGCTGAGGCGGACGGATCACGAGGTCAGCAGATCGAGACCATCCTGGCTAACACGGTGAAACCTCATCTCTACTAAAAATACAAAAAATTAGCCGGGCGTGGTGGTGGGCGCCTGTAATCCCAACTACTCGGGAGGCTGAGGCAGGAGAATGGCATGAACCCGGGAGGCGGAGGTTGCAGTGGGCCGAAATCGTGCCACTGCACTCCAGCCTGGGCGACAGAGTGAGACTCCATCTCAAGTAAAAAAAAAAAAAAAAAGAAAAAAAGAAAAAATTGTTCCTCTAGGTAGCTCCTAAAAGGATCCTGTCCAGTTGCACCCGCTTTGGGAACTGCTGCTCCACCCTGTATGATGTTGGGGTTGCTGGCCCTGCGGGTTGTCTTTGGTGCAGGCTCTTTCTGCCAGTGAGCAAAATGCATGTGTTCCTTTCGCTGTGAATTTCTTGACGGGGTAGAAGCCGAGCTCTCAACCCACTTCAACTAAAGCAGCCTTTCTATGGGTTTATGTATTTCTTCCCTGCCTATGTTTTAGTCCAGAAAACGTAAGTTCTTCTAAACTAAAACCAAAGCCAAAACCAAAAAACATGAAGGTTGACAACGATCATGCCAGGGCATAACTAAGTCACAGTCACAGTGTGGAAGACACCCACACTTGTGGGTGGGGAGAGGCTCCTTGGTCTCAGATGTGAAGTGCAAGAGGCTTTCTACTCTAATATGAAGACTCCAGGAGCCTGGGAGGGGCTGTGGCCGGGAGAGCTGAGCACCCGTGGCCGGGTGAGCTGCTGTGTTATCCATGCTCCATCCCCGACCACTGGGTCCTTGGGTAGGCCCCACCCACTCCCACTCAGTGTCCCTGACTGTGAACTATGAGACTGGGAGCTCAGGGACAACCTGGGGCTCATTGTCTGCTCTGAGGGAGCAGTGAGCGAGAAGGGTAGGGACGAGGCTGGGCCTGGGCCAGGGCACACTCTGTCCCCGCAGGCCCCTGGCTTTCTCCCAGGCTTCTGAGGCCTCCGCCCATAGCTGCATCACCCCAGGGTGCTTCCTCTGGGAGCCTTGGACATTGCCCCTCCTGCAAGAACCTCAGAAGGCCCCAATGGGAAGTTGCCTCTCATCAGCCTCTTCAGCCCAATGCAGGGCACACAGGAGGAAGGAGCAGAGGCATTTGTGGGTGGGGGAAGTACACATAGGGTTTGTGTGGGGCCACAGATCCTGCCTGGCAACTCCTGTCTGCCAAATGGGGGGTGATTATCCTGGTGAGACACATGGTAGGTGAAACTGAGCACCTACTATGTGCCCTACCAGGATAATCACCCCCATTTGGCAAATGAGGACACTGAGGCACAGAAAGGTTAAGTGATTTGCCCAAGGCCACACAGCTAGTTAGCAGCAGGTTCCACAGCTTAACTACATATGCCTCCTAAAAATGTCCTCCCATACAGCCCCTCACATCTACTGTGGCCGTGCCAAGGGGAGTTGAAGACCACAGGAGAAGACACGCACCCATTTGGCCAGACCAGGGCTGGGAGCTGGGGGTAGTTCTCAGAAGTAGAACTTGTTAGCCAGGGAGTGCTGGGGGCTGCTTCCAGACACAGGCCTGTGGAGGACCCACATCTTGCCTCCAAGGTGTGACTGGGACCACTGTAGGGCCAGGAGTGACAGGCACCCGGGGTGAAGCCCGGGCTAGGGATAGATGGCTGCCAGCCTATGTGAATAAGGACACCCCAGGGCCTCGGTGTGCGGCTGACACACTGTCCATGCCATGCCTCCAGGGCTGTCCAGGAGCCCCAGCATAGGGTTCCAGATCTCCCACCAGAGCCAGCCCAGGAACTGGACCCAGTTCCAACACCTTGGCTCCTTCCGACATGGGGACCCCCATCTATGTCCTCAGAATGCCTAGCATACAATTCTTACAGCGATGGGGCTGGAGGCCTTAGCTTAAAGGCTGTAGGGGTGTAAGGAGCGCCAGCGTGTAACGAAGGTCTCATTCCCCAGAAGGCTCTGGGGGAAGCACAGGGCAGGCGGCTGGGCTGCCTCAAGACACTGGGCCGGTTTCCCCACCTGTGAAGCGGGAGCAGCGCTGTGGGTGGCCTCCTTGCACTCATAGTGTGGCCTTCGAGGCTAGGGCTCCACAGGAAGGTGGCTGAGAGTGGATGAGGGCCTCATGGGCCCAGCACACCCTCCCACAGGGAGAGGGGAGTCCACCCTCTTCCCTGCCCAGCTCCCCCATACCCACTGGGGCTAGCCAGCCTTCCTGTGGGACAGAGGCTGTCCCCACTTCCTCCTGGTCACCCCTACCCCACACGCCCACCTCCCCTCCACAAAACACATACCCTGAGGGGCCCTCTGGTCCAAGCCTCCCCTTTCACAGGTGAATTAACTGAGGCCCAGTAAGGCCAGGGCGTTTAGAGACTCAGGGATGAAGCCACATCAGACCTCAGGTCTGGCTGAGACCAGGGCTCTGACCACCCCCGAACACGGCCTGGTGGGTTGCAGTCCAGGGGCTGAGGTGGGGGAGGAGTGGGGATCCAGTCACAAAACCCCAGGACATAGCCCACCTGGGCCGTCCCTGCCCACCGCACTGCTGGGGGGGGGGGGTGCGTTCTGGAGTCATTTGGGGAAAGGATCCCATTGGCCCTGTTTAGGGGACCTTTTCCCAGACCAAGAGTGGATTGCAATGGGGCCCTGGATCTGTCTCAGTTGCTCACCAGGGAGGGCGTGGAATAGGCTCCACAACCCCCAAACCTCGGTCCCCATCCATGCCCCGGCATCTTGGCCGGGTTGTAGGAGCGAGGGAGAACGCGACTGTAACGCGGGCGTTGAGCACCTAGAGTTCCCCTTCCTCTTCACTGAGAGCTGCGGCGGAGGCTTTAGACCGAGGAGCGAGATCTAAGGTTAAAGAAAGGGCCTCTGAGCCCAGTGTTGGCCAGAGACCCCACAGGCGGGCCGGGTTCGCCCTTTGCCTTCGGCCGCGCCCCACCCACCAGGGACAGAGTGGCCGCGGCCGAGCCGGGTCCACCCGCCGCAGCTTAGCTCCGCTCCGCCGCCCTCCCCGTCCGTCCTCCCCAGGCTCCCGTCGCCCTCGCCCACCCTGGGGCCCCCTCCCCAGATGGGAGCCCCTCCGACCCCTGCGAGGCCCGCTGGGGACCCACTTGACCGCGAGATCGTAGTGGGAGCTCGGCCAAAAGAATTCTTCGCTTTCCCTGGCCCTCAGTTTACCCATCTGGGAAGAGGGGCGTCGCGGCCGCAGAAGTCCAGCTCCGCACGCGCCAAGCGCTGGGTCTGCAGCTCCCTCGGTTCCCGCGCACCCAACTGCCCCACGACCCCTACCCGCGCCCGCAGCCCCCGCCCTCCCGCCCCACTTGCCTGGGCCGCCGGGCGCTGGAACCTGGACCCTGGACCCTGGCGGGTTCCGAGCTGCGCCGCCGCCGTCCCTGCCCCTCCAGCACTGGACTCCTCCTTTCCCGTCTTTTTAAAGGGAAGTAACCGGACCCGACCACTACTCCACCCGATTCACCCCTAGCGGGCCGCCCGCCCGCAGCTCCGCCCGGGCTCCTCCCCCGTCCGCCCGCGGCTTCCCGGGAGCCCCCCAGGGCTCCTCCGCTCCTCCGACGGCCCGGCCTTCCCCCCGGGGCCTGGGATGCACCAGGGCTCCTGCTGCCCCCGACGGGGTCCCTGTCGCCGCAGCCCGCGGGACCCGCCGGCCACATCTGGACGGCATCTGCCGCGGGGGAGGGGCTCAGAGCCTCGCCCTGAGTGTCCCGCAGGGAGCCTTGTGCATCCGGGGCAGGAAGCCAGCGCATCCCGTGCAGACGGGTGGTGCAGATAACGGACCCGCCACAGCACGCAATTCAACTTTCTTGGTACCTGGGACTCGTAGTTCAGAAGGCGCAGTAGCACGACCTTGCGAAAAAGCACCGGAGTCGGGAACACGCGCTTCTCATTTTTTTCTTTTTCCTTTATTTGTTTTTGAGACAGAGTCTCGCTCTGTCGCTCACGCTGGAGTGCAGTGGCACTTTCTCCGCTCACTGCAACTTCCTCCTCCTGGGTTCAAGCGATTCTCCTGCCTCAGCCTCCCGAGTAGCTGGGACTACAGGTGCACGCCACCACGCCTGGTTAATTTTTGGAGTTTTAGTAGAGACAGGGTTTCACCATGTAAGGCTCGTCTCGAACTCCTGACCTCAAGTGATCCGCCCGCCTTGGCCTCCCAAAGTGCTGAGATTACAGGAGTGAGCCACCACACCTGGCCTGCGCCTCTCATCTTGATCCTGCTTGCAGAGGTTGTGCAGCCACCGGAGCCCCGCCAGGGTGGGGCTCCCTGTCTCTGAGCAGCTTTAATGGGCGGTACCAGATAATATTTGTATTGGTTCCCTGTGGCTGCCGTAACACAAACATAAAACAACACTAATTTACTATCTTACAAGTTTTGTAAAATCAGAAGTCCAAAATGGGTCTCGCTGGACTAAAAGCAAGGGGGTTGAGGGATACAGCTTTCTTGAGGCTGGAAGGGAACCTGTTTCTTTGGCTTTTCTGGCTTCTAGAAGCTGCCCACATTCCTTGGCTGGTGGCCCCATCCATCTTCAAAGCCAGCAGTGGCCCACCAGTCTCTCACAATCTGTCACTCTGACACCAACTGTTCTGCCTCTTGCTTCCACTGGTGAGCATCTTTGTGATTACATCGGGCCTACCCAGATAATCCAGGGTAATCTTTCTATTTTAAATCAATGGATTGGCAACTTGAATTCCACCTGCAACTGTAATTTCCCTTCGTGGGGTAGCATAACATATTCACAGATTCTGGGCATTAGAACCAGGGCATCTTTTGAGGAGGAGGATATGATTATGTCTACCACAATATTCAAGCTGACTTCCAGACTTTCAGATTTATAATCAAATTTAAGCTCTTCCTTATCCATGATTGGAATCCTTGGGACAGTTAAAGCCTTGCACTGCATGGTCCAAATTGATGGCTTTGTGACTGGCTGTGTTTTATTATTTTACTTGCACTTGCTCTTCTTTTGGAAACTTCATGGAGGACCAGGGTACCTCTAGGTAGCAGCCTTGCTTCTCCTTCCTAATTTGCTCTGTACTCTTAAAAACCAGGTCACAAACATATCGGAATATAGAATTGTGTGTAAAGTAAGAGTAAGTAGGCTGTGAGTGAGACCTCAGAGGCTATTTTGTTTTTTTTCTCTCTCCAGTCTCATGCATGTCTGACTCTCTCCACTATCATATCTGGCATAATCTCCTCCATGTCTGACAAGCCAAGGAAAACACTACATCAGGCCAGGAGAGAATCTTCCCCCCGGAGCTCTGCCTCTCCCACCCAGGCTCCGCGGAGATTTTAAGAGGAGTAAAGATCCTGCTGTGGCAGAAGTGCAACCCAGCTTTCTGGAGGGCAGTTTGGGGTTAGGAATGAAGATCACTTTCAGAAATTTAGCCTGAAGAGGCTGGGCGTGGTGGCTCATGCCTGTAAGGCAGGTGGATCACTTGAGGTCGGGAATTCAAGGCCAGCCTGGGCAACCTGGTGAAACTGTGTCTGTACTAAAACACAAAAATCAGCCAGGTGTGGTGGCGCATGCCTGTGGTCCCACCTACTTGGGAGGCTGAGGCACGAGAATCGCTTGAACCTGGGAGGCAGAGGCTTCAGTGAGCTGAGATCACATGACTGCACTCCAGCCTCGACTACAGAGCAAGACTGTCTCAAAAAAATAAATAAATTTAGCCTAAGGAAATAGAATATTTATATGCAAGGCTTTTCACTGCAGTATTACTTATAATACTGGAAAATCAGAAATAGCCTAAGTGGGCTGGGCGTGGTGGCTCATGCTTGTAATCCCAGCACTTTGGGAGGCCAAGGCAGGCAGATTACGAGGTCAGGAGTTCGAGACCAGCCTGGCCAATGCAGTGAAACCCTGTCTCTACTAAAAATACAAAAATTGGGTGGGCATGGTGGTGGGTGCCTGTAATCCCAGCTACTGGGGAGGTTGAGGCAGGAGAATCGCTTGAACCCGGGAGGTGGAGGTTGCAGTGAGCCGAGATTGCGCCACTACACTCCAGCCTGGGTAACAGAGAGAGACTCTGTCCACCCCCTGTGAAAAAAAAGATGAAGAGACAGTGCTTGCTCCTGCAGAAAGAAAATTCATGGGCTCATAAACATGTAAAAAGATGTTCAATAACTCACTTATTAAGAAAATGAAAATTATAACTACAAAAGATACTATTCTTCACTTACCAGATCAGCAAAGATAAAAAGCAGTTTGGTAGGTCAGGCACAGTGGCTCATGTCTGTAATTCCAGCACTTTGGGAGGCTGAGGCAGGAGAATCACTTAAAACCAGGTGTTCGAGACCAGCCTGGGCCACGTGGCAAAACCCTGTCTCTACCAAAAAAAAAAAATTAGCCAGGCGTGGTGGCACGTGCCTGTAGTCCCAGCTACTTGGAAGAATGAGGTGGGAGGATTGCTTGAGCCTGAAAAGTCAAGGCTGCAGTGAGCCATGATCGTGTCACTGCACTCCAGCCAGAGCGATAGAGTGAGTCCCTGTCTCAAAAAAAAAAAAAAAAGTTTGGTAACACACTATTCGCAAGGGTGGGAGGAAAACAGGCAACCCCCTGCATTGCTGGTTGGTGTGTAGACTGACTCGACCTCAAAAGAGAATATTTGGGCAGTATTTATCAAACATATAAACACATGTCCTGTTTGACTTGGCACTTCCAGAAATTTATCCTACAGATAATGCTCACACGTAAGTGAAAGGAATACACAAGGCTTTCCACTGCATCGCTGCAACATTGAGCCAAAACCACAATGACTTTTGCACCAATCTAATAGCTGGAGACAACCTAAATGTCCACCAATAGAGATGGGATAAATGAATGATTATTGTATGCCCTGCAATGGAATGCATATGGCTATCAAAAATAACTAGGATTCTCCTTACAGAACGCTCCCCAGGACAGGTTGTTTAGTAATAAAACCTAGACGCAGAGCCGTGTTCAAGTCGTTTATCAATTGTACTTAAATGGAAAAAGCACAGAGACACACAATTTGCTTTTATATGTGCACGCGCTGATAACACGAGTTGTTTCCCAGGAAGGAAACTGGAGCTGGAGAACAGGGTGGGAAACGCATTTTTCAGCATATCCTTTTGTTCTCTTGAATCTTGAACCATGTGAATACCGTGTCTAATCAAAATATAAATAAAATTAAAAGTGAAGACGAAAGACCAGAAGATTAACAGGCTTTATAATATAATTTTTTTTTTGAGATGGAATTTTGCTCTTGTTGCCCAGGCTGGAGTGCAATGGCGCAATCTTGGCTCACTGCAACCTCCGCCTCCTGGGTTCAAGCGATTCTCCTCCCTCAGCCTTCCGAGTAGCTGGAATTACAGGCGTGTGCTACCACACCCACCTAATTTTGTATTTTTAGTAGAGACAGGGTTTCTCCATGTTGGTCAGGCTGGTCTCAAACTCCCAACCTCAGGTGATCCACTTGCCTTGGCCTCCCAAAATGTTGGGATTACAGGCGTGAGCCACTGCGCCTGGCTATAATATAAAAATTTGAATGCCAGGTGAGGTGGCTCACATCTGTAATCCCAGCACTTTGGGAGGCCGAGGCAGGGGCATCGATTGAGGCCAAGGCAACATAGCAAGACCCCATCTCTATTTTAAAAACTTTTTTTAACTTGGCTGGGCGCAGTGGCTCATGCCTACAATCCCAGCACTTTGGGAGGCTGAGTCAGGTGGATCACCTGAGGTCAGGAGTCCCGGCCAACACGGTGAAAATCTGTCTCTACTAAAAATACAAAAATTAGCCGGGCATGGTGGCAGGCACCGGTTATCCCAGCCACTCAGGAGGCTGAGGCAGGAGAATCACTTGATCCTAGGAGACAGAGATTACAGTGAGCTGAGATCGCACCATTGCACTCTAGCCTGGGCGACAAGAGCAGAACTCTTTCTCAAAAAAAAAATAAATAAAAATTATAAACTTATATTTGTGGATGAAATGATTTGATGTCTCAGGTTTGCTTTGACCTAATCCAGAAGGGGTGGAGAAGTCAGGAATGCTCAATACAGCATGATTTAAAATAGGGGAAAATCAGAAACAATTAGATGTTCAGTAATGGAGGATTGGTTAAATAAATTATGGGCTTCTATATGAAAAAAGTACTATGCTACCATTCTAAAAACAATAAATCATAGCTGGACGCGGTGGCTCACGTCTGTAATCCCAGCACTTTGGGAGGCCGAGGCAGGTGGATCACCTCAGGTCGGGAGTTCGAGACCAGCCTGACCAACATGGAGAAACCCCATCTCTACTAAAAATACAAAAATACCCGGGCATGGTGGCGCATGCCTGTAATCCCAGCTACTCAGGTGGCTGAGGCAGGAGAATCACTAGAACCCAGGAGGCAGAGGCTGCGGTGAGCCGAGATCGCGCCACTGCACTACAGCCTGGGCAACAAGAGCGAAACTCTGTCTCAAAATAATAATAATAATAATAATAATAATAAATCATATTTTAGAAGTATTGAAAGAGTACTTTCTGTTTTGTTTTGCTAATAATCGTGGAGTGGGAAGACCTTTTTAGGTATATGAAATCCATACTCCACAAATGAAAAGACCGCTACAGTTGACTACATAAAGGTAAAAATCTCTGCATTGCACAACCACCACAAGCAAAGTCAAAAAGAACCCTCCATAACAGGGGAAAATTAGCTATATGTTGCTAACTGTTGACTCTCAGAGATGGGTATATTGAGGGTTCATTATTACTGTTATTTTTTAGTGTGTTTTCAAATTTCCATAACAAAAGGAAAACTTAAATATATACAAACTTCTGTATGGCAAAAGCCAAATATTACACTGGACAATAATATTTGCAACACATATAAACAACAACAGATTAATATCAATAATGTCCTAAAAAGGTCCTACAAGGTGTTTGTAAAAGACATAAAAACAGGCCAGGCGCAGTGGCTCACGCCTGTAATCCCAGCACTTTGGGAGGCTGAGGCGGGAGGATCACGAGGTCAGGTGATCAACACCATCCTGGCTAACATGGTGAAACCCCGTCTCTACTAAAAAAAAAATAATAATAATACAAAAAATTAGCCGGGCGTGGTGGTGGTAGCCTGTTACTCCCAGCTACTTCGGAGGCTGAGACAGGAGAATGGCGTGAACCCAGGAGGCGGCGCTTACAGTGAGCCGAGATCATGCCACTGCATTCCAGCCTGGGCAACAGAGTGAGACTCCGTCTCAAAATAAATAAATAAACAAACAAACAAACATTAGGGCAGAATAGGACTTGGGAAAATAAAATAAAATAAAAACAACACAACTGAAAACCGGGCAAAGGATTAGATCTGAAACTTCACAGAGGAGGAAATTTTAAAAGCCAACTAACAGGTGAAAAGATGTTTAACCTTAGTCATACTCAGGAAACACAATTTCAAAACAATGAGATGTCAGTTTTCACTTATGATGTTGGCCAAGGTCTAGACCAACGGATAACATCTAGAGTCGGCCAGGGTGTGGGGAACTGGGATCCCCCCACAGTCCTGGGGCACATGGGAATCGCTATGAATAAAATGGCAAGCCCTATTCACAATTTAACCACAGCTACCCTTTCATCCAGTGATCCTGTTTTGGGGAATTTATCCTAAACCCAGGGAGTAACGAAACTACTGCTTAAACCATTCATGCAGGAGGAGGCTTATTAGAGCATTCCTTGTTCGAGAAGAAAAATAAGCCAAAATGTCTGTAGAGCACCCTTTAAACAAGTGAATAAAGGTCCACAGGAAACAGTGTACACAGTCACAGAGCGTGTGTGCTAACTCTGTATGTATCACCTTGGAATGATGTCTGTTCGTACATTTTTAAGTTCAAAAGCAAGTTCCAAGCAATGCATTTCATCTCACCCTCTATTACAACAGCCCCAGGGATTGTCCCCATTTTATAGAGGAAGCTGATGGCTCAGGCGTGAGTAACCACCCCAGGCCAGTGCCCAGCTTGTGTCAGACCTTCCGAGGAAGCCACATCTGTCTGACCCAGCAAAGCTGCAGGGTCCTCTCTCTGGGTGCGTCATTCGGGTGTATTGTCATGAGTGCTGGGATGAAATGGAAATGAACTTGCCAAATTATTAACCCACTCTGCCTCAGTGAGGTTGACTTGAGCCAGGGGTGGGCTGGGGGAGGGAGACAGGGGAGAGACTATCCATTTTTTCCTTATATGCTTGTTTATTCTTTGAATTGTTAGAACAAACGTGAGATTTTCATAGCAACCACCCACCACTACAAAACCATTAAAATACTGCTTAAAGGGTGAGGTGCAGTGGCTCATACCTGCAATTCCAGCACTTTAGGAGGCAGAGGAGGTTGGATTGCTTGAGGCCGGGAGTTCAAGACCAGCCTGGCCAACATGGCAAAACCCTGTCTCTACTAAAAATACAAAAATCAGCCGGGCGTGGTGACATGCACCTGTAATTCCTGCTTTTTGGGAGGCTGAGGCGCAAGAGTTGCTTGAACACAAGAGGCAGAAGTTGTAGTGAGCTGAGATCGTGCCATTGCACTCCAGCCCAGGCGACAGAGTAATACTCTGTCTCAAAAAAAAAAAAAAAAAAAAAAGAGAGAAAAGAAAAGGTGGAAGTGGGAGGGGCAGGCAGGACTCAGAATGATGCCTCCCTGCTCATCCTGCGTGGCATCCCTTGCTGCCACCTCCATCTCAGTAACTCAGCCCCACGTGGTGCTCGGAAGAGCCCTTGGGAGAGGGTGCGTGATCTCAGGGCGTGGCAGCTTAGTGGGGGACTTTCCCCAAAGACTCCTTCTCTAGGCTGGAGTCCCTTGGTGAGGACGGGAGCAGCTGTTTCTAAACCTCCCTCTCCCCACAAGCTTAAGCAGCACAGGCTGCCTGCAGGCACTTTGGTCAGCTGTGTGTATGCGTGGCTCCCGTGCACCGAGGATGACTGGTCTACCTGGGCAACAACAGCAGGGATAATAAGCTCCGTGGGCGCAGGGTTCCTGCCTGCGCTGTTTTCCACTGTATGCAGCACTTAGCACAGGACTTGGCACATATAGGGCGAACTAAAGAACCAAAGCAGGGCATGATGGTGTGCATCTGTCATTCCAGTTTCTCAGGAGGCTGAGGTGGGAGGATCGCTGGAGCCCAGGCCTTCGAGGTCAGCCTGGATAGAATGGTGAGATGACAGAAACCCCCACACTGTGACGAGGGAGGGCAGGAGAAGGTGAGTGTCCATGGGGCACTGTTGAGGAATGAGGTGCATTGTCAGATGGACAGGTGGAGGGAGGGTGTCCGTAGCAGAGGGACCAACATTTCCAAAAGCAGGGGGTCCGGTGCATGGCGAGGGGGAGGCTGGAGTGCTCAGGGACAGTGGAGCCCTGAATGCCGAGCTAGGGAATTGAGCTCTATTCCTGGGAATCCTGAATCCCTGATGAAGTTGGAGAAAAGGACACTGATGGAATTAGGTTTGCCTTTTAGAGAGAGCCCCTGGGGACAGTTTGGGGACCAGATTGGAAGGGTGCCAGGTAGGAGGCAGGAAGAGCAGTTGGTGGCGGGTGGGGGGGTGGGGTGCCCTCCAGAGACAGAAGGAGAGCAGTTCAGGGATATTCCAGAGGTGGCTTCAGGAGGCCTGGTGACCAGCAGTGGGGGAGGGAGTCAGGGGAATGGGGCACCAGGGCTGCTGCTGGGGCTGGGGAGGGCAGTGCTAGAGTCAGTACTTCCTGGCACTGAGATTTTTTTTTTCAATTTCTTATTGCTGTTGTTTTCAAGAACTCAGTTTGGATTTTATTATAAAATTGATTAAAAACACATTTTTTGGAAAAAAAAAAAAGACAAAGAGTAGCTTTTACAATGAACTTCTTTGGGAACTTTCTCAGGAAGTGGGAAAGGGCCTGTTGTTGTCCAGGCTGTGGAAGGGATGGAAAGGACCTAGAGCCCACAGAGGTCCCTGAGGTGGCAGCAGGGCAGGGCAGAGTGGGGTGGGGGGAGGAATGGACCAGGCAGGTGGGGACGCCAAGTCCCGCATGGCACCCCTCGGCGGGCTCCCTCCCCAGTGCCCCCTGGATGCCACACCTAAGCACGGATGTGGTTCCCCCAGGAGTCCCCCAGGGCAGGGCAGGGCAGGGACCCTGCAGAGGAATGCTGGGTAGGAGGCAGCTTTGTGGTCAGACAGACTTGGCTTCCTCAGAAGGTCTGACACAAGCTGGGCACTGGCCTGGGGTGGTTACTCACGCCTGAGCCATCAGCTTCCTCTGTAAAATGGGGACAATCCCTGGGGCTGTTGTAAGAATTAAATGAGAAAAATCCTGTACAGCATTTAGCAATGCCCAGCCCTTAAGAAGCCCTTGGAGAGGAGCCCCCCAGGGATTGTCTTAGTGGGTCTTTGACCAGGTGGTGTGGCTCACACCTCCAAGCTGTCCCCTCTACAGAGGGGGTTGGGTGGGGGTGGGAGAGGAGACCTCATGCCTTCCGATCTGTCCTGGGCATGAGGTCTCCTCTTCTCCATCACGGATGTCCCACCCACTCCCACGGGTTCACCATCTCCCTGGACACCATCCTCCATTTTCACCCATGGCCTAAGACGTCCTGCCCAGCCCCCTCCACAGAACCAGCTCCTTGTAGTCATCTGAACCGGGCATCCTGGGGGCTCTCAAATATACCTCCAAACCTGACCCTGCCATCCTGCCCCTACACCTTGGCCAAGGGTGCCACGCCCATCAGGCTCTTTGCCTCCCTGTCCCCTATCCAATAGGCCTCAATTCTGCTCAATTCTGCAGCCACTGCCCTGTGCTCTGCCTTAGGGGAGGACGCGGCAGCCGCTCACTGGCCACTCCAGCCTCCTAGGTGGTCCCCCTGCCCTCACCACAACCTCTGCTCCACTGGCAGCCGGACTGACCTTTTGGAGATGTCACTGTCTCCCTCTCTCTCCCCTAAATTGTTGAAAATCCTTCAGGACTCCACCAATGCCAAGGTCAAACTCCATGCAAAGCATCACGCTGCCTCCTCTCCCACCATCAATGCATCAGCCTTTCCCTGGACCTGCAGCAGCCCCCTTGCCTCTCTCCCCTGGGAGGGGGACTGGCGGCAGGCTCCCCCGCATGGAGTCTGCTCCCTCCTGAGTGTGCCCGGCACCGGCATAAGGCAGACTGCCAGTAAAAGAGGGCTGAGGACGGGCTGGTGGTGCTCGGGGGTTCTGTCACCTGAGCGGTCCCTCAGGTGGCTGCATTCCTGGAATTTCTCTTCTTCTGAGCCCTCAGGAGGCCGTAGCGGTTCCACCCACCCAACTTGGCCCATATTGCTCCAGGGCACCTGGAGAAAGGACCCCGACTGTCTTGGGAAGAGGCCCACCTGCATCTGGCCTCCCTAGCCCTCAGATCTGCATGAAACGTGGCTCCCACTACTGGCTGCCTACAGGGGAAGCGGGGCCACAGGCTGAGTGGTCACTGAAATTCACTCCAGGCTTCTGGGGGCTGGGGCCTGCACACAGCTGGAGGTTTCAGGGAAGGGTTAGGCCAGATCCCCAGTCCGACACTTGTACCTTTGAAGGGGGCAGAGCGTGGCAGTTAAGGATCAGGCTTCATATCTTGGCTGTGACACTTATTAGCTGAGTGGCCCTGGGTAAGTCACTTCTCTGTGCCTCAGTTTCCCCACCAGCAGATGGTAACGATGCTTTGCCTCTCAGGGTGGTAGTGAGCAGTGAGCAAATGCATGAGAAACGTGCCGGGCAGCAGGGCTCGGTGCATCCTGGCCATCTTATACCATCATTCCAGGCAGTTCCGGGCCTCGTAGCCTCTGACTCCATGCGTCCTCCTTCAGCCACAGTCCCAGGCCTCCTGCTCCCCATGGGGGTGGCCCAAGACCCTAGGGCTCAATGATGTAATGACAAAAGTGTTTAGCAACCGGCAGAGAGTGGGCGCAGGGTGCAGGGCGTTGGCCCTGACTTTAGCATTTACCAGTTTCCATGGTGTAAATAAATAACCCTGCCCTGTCCAATTTCAAGCTGCTGTGGATGTGGAGTTGGGAACAGATGCCCAGTGGCACACCAGGGTATGATGTCTCCACCGCACAGATACAAGAGGCGTGGATAACCCCAAAAGCAGAAATGATAGTCAAACATGTTAACATAATCAGGAAGTGGTAAGTGTTGCATATTACCTTTGCTCTTTTGACATACTTTGTGAGCATATGCAATTTAATTTTTAATGATGGCTATGCTTGACAACTGACCCATGACATTACTGAAATGTGGACAGCTGGCTCTCCCAAGCAAGTCCAAGTTGGCCCCAGCCCCCTGCGGTGCTGTTCTGTGCCGTCTCGCCCAGGGCACCAGGACCTGCTCTGAAAACTCTGTGGGGCCTGGCTTCAGCCCACCTTGTTTTCATCCCACGTGTCACTCTTTGGAACACCATGTTTAAGCAGGGGCCATCTCTGGGTTTCTTTGTGTAGCCCGTGTTCAATCCTAAGGACCCTCACTCCTGGCCCCTTGTCTGCTAGTCACCTTCCACCCAAGGTTAAAAAGCACAGGGTTTCTAGCCAGGTGTGGTGGCGTGCGCCTATAGTCCCAGCTACTCAGGAAGCTGAGGCAGGAGAATTGCTTGAACCCAGGAGGCAGAGGTTGCAGTGAGCCAAGATCATGCCACTGCACCCCAGCCTGGGTGACAGAGCGAGACTCTGTCTCAAAAAAAAAAAAAAAGCACACAGCGTTTGGATTCAGGCACACCTGGCTCCCATTCTGGACCTGACCTTTCACAGCTGTGTGACCATCAGCAAGTAAGTTAATCCCAAAGAGCCTCATTTGTCTCATCTGTATGATAGGGATAATTCACTGACAGGTCACCTCAAAAAAGTTTCCTTGAGTCTCTTGGTCGTCCCTCCCTCCCACCCGTCTCCCCAACTCCATTCCCAGGCAGCCACTCATCTGCTTTCTGTCACTATAGATTGGTTTGCATTTTGTAGAATTTTTTTTTTTTGAGACAGAGTCTTGCTCTGTTGCCCAGGCTGGAGTGCAGTGGCACGATCTCAGCTCACCGCAACCTCCACCTCCCAGGTTCAAGCGATTCTCCTGCCTCAGCCTCCCAAGTAGCTGGGATTACAGGCATGTGCCACCACGCCCGGCTAATTTTTTTTTTTTTTTTGTATTTTTAGTAGAGACGGGGTTTCACCATGTTGGTTAGGCTGGTCTTGAACTCCTGACCTCGTGATCTGCCCACCTTGGCCTCCCAAAGTGCTGGGATTACAGGTGTGAGCCACCATGCCAGGTGGACTTTTGGTTTTGTCTGCAGCCTGGCTAGTTTCAGTCTAGGCTTTCCGCCTTCCCTTTGAGCCTGTGAGAGCTTCCCCACAGCCCTTCAGCGAGTGCCTTTCTGGGTTGGTTCTCTTTGCACTGGGAATCCTGACTGGTGCAAGGGAGCCGCTGTGTTCCCATTTCCCAGCTGAGGAAACACAACAGAGAGAGGTTAGGTGTGTTGCCCAAGGTCACACAGTTGGAAGTGGCAGAGGCAGGATCAAACCAAGTTCACGTCTCCTTCAGGGCTTTAGGACTATGTATCATAGTAAAATGCCCTCTCACACACCATTCTGACCACCTGGAAGTGGGCAGATAAGGGACTGGCTCAGGGTCACACAGTGAGACAGGAAGCTGGGCCTGTGCCCCCACCACACAGTGCCTCCTGCCCTCAAGGCTGAGTAGAGCGTGGAGCTTCACGCATGTTGAGAGGGAAATGGAAGGAGTTGAATGCATTCATTGATTTGTTGAGCAATCTCGTACTTACTGACAGCTGAATATGGGTCAGGCACTGTCCCAGGCACCAGCAAGGCAGCAGCAAAACAACAGTGAAAAAGAGAGTCGACATGGCACACACTGTCATATCGGGTGACAAGCGCCACAGAGGACAAAGTGGGGTGAGGGATGGGGAGTGAGGGGAGAAGTGGCTGCTTCAGCCAGGTGGGACCGGGAAGTCCTCTGCAGGTGAAGGCTGAGAGAAGTGAGGAGCAAGGGGGACCTGAAGACAGAGGCAGAGGGGATGGCAAGACAAAGGCCCTGCGTGGGAATGAGCCCGGCAGGTTTGAGAAGCATAAAGGCCAGTGTGGCTGGAAGGAGGGAGCCAGGCAGGGGTGCAAGATGAGGATGTGGGGTGGGTGGGGGCAGCTAAGCAGGGCCTTGGGTTTCTTTGAGGCTGGTGGGAAGCTTTTGGGAGGCTTTAAAGGCTGCAGGGCAGTGGGGGTCTGATGAATGCATGAGGTGGTTCACTCTGCGGTGGAGCGATGACATGAGCCACAAGGAGACAGAGGGGGAGGCAGAGACACTGCTGAGGGGCCTGAGGGGTTGTGGTGGTGTCCGGGCAGGGACACTGGGGTGGAGGATGCAGTGGTGACATGTGGGCTCCAGGACCACTGACTATCGTGCAGGATCTGGTGCTGGGGGGCAGTGAGTTCTCAGGGAGGGAAACTCGTGTCAGGGATGAGAAGACAGGGGCTGGGGATGCCGGGGACTGTGGGCCCAGAGCAAAGGGGAGCTGTGACACCCAGAGAAAGGGTGGCCTTTGGCCTCTCCAGGGCAGGGGAGCCCAGGGCAGTTGGGCAGAGCTGGGCTGGGGCTGAGCCAGTTGGGCTGACAAGAAGGCTTGGGCGGGACCTGACAAGGAGGACTTGCTTCAGGGTGTCAACCTGTACCAGGCTCAGGCTGCAAGGCCAGGTAGTGTCACCGTAACCCTCACCTGGTTGACACAGGGTCTGGACCCAAGGATTTCCTTCCAACCCTGTAATATCATTATGTACTTTAAACAGCTACTGGGCTGCTTGACAGTTTCTAGGGCTGAGGCAGGGCCCAAATGGTGGAGAAGAGGCAGCTAGAGGCCGGGAACTCAGAAGGGGAATCTCAGCAAAAAACACCCCGAAGGAGCTGAGTCCTGCGGGAGCTCCCTCTACGTGAACTGACGGGTGTTGTGGGAGCAGGTCCAGCCACACAAAGGAAGTTCCAGTAGAGCTGGCTCGGCAGTTGACAGTTTAAATCCTGGCTTGCCTCGGTGCTGCTGGCTTCGGTCCGCAGCTCCCTCTAGCCAGCCCACACCCAGCTGGGGAGCCACTCAGGGCTGGACAGGGGTCAGGGAAAGGGCATTCATGTCAAGTGCCCCGGACCAAGAGGCCGGAGAAAACCTTCAGTTCCAGGTTGCCTAGGGCAAAGGTGGTGATCTTTGGCAGCACAAAGTGCCCTGGGTTTGGGGCTGTCCTTTGGCCTCCAGTTTCAGTGCTAGCCTGGGAGTGTCCAGAGAGATGAAGTATGAGATGACTTGTCCCTCCCACCACAGTGCCCAAGTGGGAGGAGGCACGCTGACCCATGCAGCCACACACACAACCCACAGGCCTCATCTCTGACTCTCCCAGGCAAGCAAAGGAGCAGACTGCAGCAGCCCTGAGATGTGGCTGTTGCCTCGGAAGGAATGTTGCCTTGGAAGGAAGAGGAAGGGATCCCGGCGGAAGGAAGAGGAAGGGATCCTGGCGGCAGAGCCCACATGTGACACCAGTAACCCCCAACCCCTAAATCAGCTACCTCCATCCTGATTGGTCAATGCCTGAGCCATGCTGGTTGGTAAATATTTTGAGCATCACCTCATTCTGCGGAACCAGGGGACTCATTTGTGAAAACTACCTGGAACTCCTGTCTATCAATTTTAGCTTAGCCTTTCTTTCACAGTGTGCAAAGGGCGTTCATTCTCAGCAATGCAGAAGGCAACCTCCAGCTTGTCTCTCCTGAAATTGCAGCCTGGTCCTTGGAGGCTGGGGGAGGGGACACCCCTGTTTCCAAGTGCTCCCGGGAGGCCAGGCTGTCAGAGCTGTACTAAAATGTAAGGTTTGCTCTTGAGAAGGCTCAAAGATCCCACTTCTCATGGGAAGCGTGGAGTCCCTGCAGGGGCCCCAACTCTCATCCAGGCCTGCGAGGTCAGAGGCCCTCTCACTGGTCCCCAGATTCGAGCTCCCGCCGTGCTTGCTGGGACTGCCAGATGTCCCTCCTGACTCCAGGGAAAGGAAGTTCCAGGCTCCTCTCCCCTCTGACCCCCATACCGTGGGTCCTGCCAGTTGCTAGTTGCTCTTCTATGTCTTCAGACGCTCCCCATCTTAAGATTCACTTTCTGCAGACCCCACCACCTCCTCAACCATTTTATCTAGCTGTGCCTCTGGATACGGGTGTGGGACCCCACTGACAGGCCAGGCCAGGGCCAGTGTGCATCACCATCCCCGTGCAGTGCCCTCCTTTAAGGCCCACTTTGGTTTCTGCTGCCCTCATTTCCTCTTCCCCTTCTGCCAGGACCTGAGCTCTTTCTCCTTCCCAGCATCATCGAACTTATTCCATCCACCTCCTCAACTCCCATTCCCTCTGCAAGTCTCAGTGATAAGAGTAGCCAATGTTGACTGAGTGAGTCCTTCATCGTCCGCATCAGTGATTCACTGAATCCACACAGTAACCTACAAGGCAGGAATCATTACCCTCTTTTTCAGATGAGCAAACTGAATCTTCCGAAGGTTCAGACTGCACATTGCAGAGCTGGACTGTGACCCACACTAAGTTTGGACCTGCCCCACCATGAGGCTAGAGCCATCTCTTCACAGTTCTCACTCGGGGGGCTGGGCTGGGGCCAATGGAAGCCTGAGAGAGGCCGTCTCTTCCTGGTCCCCCTCCCCACTGAAAGTGCTTCCTTGACTTGAAGTCGCCCGCTGTCCAGATGCTCCTCTCTCCCCTGCCCACAGGCTCAGTCCTCAACCCTCTTGTCCCTCGGCCACAGCGCTCACCCCCACACCTCCAATCATCATCTCTGGGTGGAGACTCATTTCCTCTCCTGCCCACTCAGTTTCCCAGCTGGCTGGTGGACATCTGCCCCCAGAGATGCTTGGACAACCCCAACCGAATGCGTTCCACATCCAAACTCCTGATTGCCACCCTCCCAAACCCCCTCCCTCTCTCGAGAGCCCCATCCTTGCGCCTCCTCGTTACACGGGCTCCACCTGCCAACACCAGCTCTGCCATTCTCCTCTCCCTCAGCCTCCACGAGCCATCATCGGGTCCTTCCCACTTCCTGCTTCCAATACCACTATTCTGGTTCTCCTTCCCAAGTGCTGAGCACAGGGACCTGGAGAGCACATGCTGAGACTGTTAGAATGAACTGCCATTTGCCTCAACCGTTCACTCATCCAACAGTTATTTATTGAACGCCATGGACCAGGTACCGTGCCCAGCAGCTGGGATGCAGCACTGAACACGAGACAAGCCCCTGCCCTGGAGGGGCTTACATCCCGGCAGGGTAAACAGCCAGTAACTTCAGAAACCAAACATCCAGTACGTCAGAGTGCCATGGGAAAGGTACGCTGAGCAAGGGCGGGCAGTGCCAGGGCTGGGGTGCCACTGTACAGGGTGATGGGGAGGCCCTCCTCCCTGGAGAGGGCGGCATGATCCTAGTGGGCCGAGGTCAACCGCCAGGGTCAAACGGAACACAACCCACTCTCAGGAAGACATCCCTAACACAAATCCAGGGACTTTGTT
Organism: Homo sapiens; assembly: GCF_000001405.40. NCBI lineage: Eukaryota > Metazoa > Chordata > Mammalia > Primates > Hominidae > Homo > Homo sapiens. The sequence continues at coordinate 89,830,957 of NC_000015.10, forward strand.
TCTTAACCTTAAAATTGGAAACACTTCTTGCTACCAGGGATGGGGGGTGGGGCTCAGCGTTTGGGGAACCGGAGTGGGAGTCTTTTGCTGAACAGACTTTTGTTTTCTTAAGTTTTGAACTACATGAATGTATTTCCTTTTTTGAAAGGAAAATTGAAATAGGAAAAAATTTTAAGTCTTTTGGAAAGAATTAATCATTTTCATGGAACTGCTTCCCTATAGGGGCCTGTTTTCGTATCTGCCAACTTCCACTGAAACACGCAGATGGAGAACCCTCCAGTGCTCCCGAGAAGGGAGACAGTCTTAACCCAGAGGACAGCATCCACCAGCCTGCAAGCACGGACCCCGTGCTGGTGTGTGAGTGCAGCACACACTGGGCTAACCATCACCACAGTGAGACTGGCACCCTCTGGGGTAGGGTAGACTCAGGAAGGTGAAAATCAGGATGTCTGCCAGGAGCTGACAAATCCCTCTGGGACTCTCATACTTCAGAGGCTCTCCAGTTTGGCTATTGCTAAACTTGGACTAGCCCCTACTACCGATCTTAATACCCATGTACCAATCATTGCTGCATCCTATTTGGAAAGCAATGGACAGACAGCCACGCTGAAAGCCCTTACTAGAGACTGGTCCACAAGATCAGATTTAGCTGCCCCTGGTTTGAGCCTTGCTCCCCTGGTGTCTTTTCTGGCGAAGCTGGGCCCAGAGAGCGTTTTACTAAGTGGGCTCCATGGTAGTGGAAGTGGTGGGGACAGAAGGCTGGCTCTATATGTGGCAGAGGCCTGAATAAACAGGGATTTGAGAGGGCTCAAGATATCCTGACTTAATCCTCAATGTGGCAGGCACAGGGCCATGGCCAGGCCTAGAGGAAGGTGGGCTGTTTGGGGTATGGCCCAGCAGGGCACGATGTGATCAGGTAGGGCGTAGGGAAATGGGTTACTGTCCTCTAAATATTCCATATATCACAAAGTTACTGACTGCGGTCTCCACAAATTCAGGCTGCCAGTCCGATGCACTATATCCCAACAATCTGAGCACTCTGTCAAAGATGCTCACAGAGACAACAGGAGCAGACAGAGCCTTGTTTCTCTCTTAATCTTCAGAGCCTAGAACTGAGCTTGGCCCTCACCAGGCACTTAGAAATTGCATAATGAAAGAATTTCAGATTTTTATTAGTGGCAGTGAGCACTGAAAACCCAGTATTTGGCCAGGTCCAGTGGCTCACACCTGTAATCCCAACATGTTTGGGAGGCCAAGGCGGGAGGATGGCTTGAGGTAAGGAGTTAGAGACCAGCCTGTGCAACATAGTGAGACCTTATTCTACTAAAAAAATAAAACTAGCCAGGAGTGGTGGTTGCGTGCCTGTGGTTCCAGCTACCTAGGAGGCTGAGGTGAGAGGATCACTTGACCCCGGGGCTTCGAGGCTGCAGTGAGCCATGATCACACCACTGCACTCCAGCCTGAGCCACAGTGTGAGACCCCCATCTCACAAAAAAAGGAAAGCCTAGTATTCTATACAACCTTAACCTATTTTTTTTTTTTTTTTTTTTGAGACGGAGTCTTGCTGTGTTGCCCAGGCTGGAGTGTAGTGGTGCGATCTTGGCTCACTGCAAGCTCTGCCTCCCGGGTTCATGCCATTCTCCTGCCGCAGCCTCCTGAGTAGCTGGGACTACAGGTGTCCACTACCACGGCTGGCCAATTTTTTGTATTTTTAGTAGAGATGGGTTTTCACTGTGTTAGCTAGGATGGTCTCGATCTCCTGACCTCGTGATCTGCCCGCCTCGGCCTCCCAAAGTGCTGGGATTACAGGCGTGAGCCACCGCACCTGGCCAACCTTAACCTATTTTTAAAAAAGATGTTTATGGCTTTGCTGATAGCAGGCTGGAAAGCTAGCTGAATTTGCAGGCAACCTCAAGTAGTTAATGAAAAATTATTGTGGCTTGTCCAAAGGGATTGAGTTTTCCAAATAAAAAAGTGGGCTTCAGTTTTATGTCATTGTAAGAGGCCATGTGAGGGATGTTTGGATGCTCGCTTTGAATCTGTAGGACCACTCAATGATTTTTTAAAACCATTGGTTTCTGGCAGGCAAAACATTCAAAATCTAGGCTATCCCAGGAAATCTAGCATAAGGGCTGTCCTGCAGTAATGCATTAAACCACGTAACAAACGAACTCAAGAAGAGGGATGTGGCTCTGGATTTGTGACCCTCAACATAACATTTACCACCTTGGGCTTCGGCTTCAACATCAGTTAAATGGAGGGACACAGACGACTCTTTGGCTCTTATACTCTATGACATGATCACTGGCCACCTTAGAAAATCAAGCCTATTTAGACCACGGTTTGTGAGAAGTCAGACTCTCTGAGGCTCAGTTTCCTTATCTATAAAAAAGAAGATGATAACATTGGGAGAAGCCATCTTAAGCAGCGAGGAAAGAAAAGGACAGTGGAGTCAAGTGAACAGTCTCAGATCTCAGCCCCGTGTAATCTAAGGGAAGGTTACTGGAGCTGGGTCTACTTTCGTCATCTGCAAAATGGGGATAAGAATGCCTGTTGTAAGGACAGTTGAATGATCTTGCTCATGCCAACTTACAGAAGGTACGAAATAAACGCCGATCTCCTTTATTCTGATCTCACATTCAGCAAATGTGAGAGAAATGTGAATGTACTGAAATGTCTGCCAGAAAAAAGAAAATCCAACCCCTCAAAAGAATGACATCAGGGGTTTTGATATCTATTCACCTACACTTCCCTCTTCCACAGGAAGCGGCCCACCTTCTGACCCACACTGCCCATCTCTGTGCTTATCATGGAGCTTTCAAGAGTGAGGATCGGAGGCTGTATTGAGCAGTGGGCACAAACCACAGGGAGCGCTGTTCAAAAATGGAAAACAAGGTGGCCCTGACACCGGGTGCTGCTGGGCACCCTCTCAGACCTGCCCTGCAACAGCATCAGGAGGCTGAGGGTCCCCAGCCAGAAGGCCCAAGAGGGGCCCAGGCTGGAAACTTTACTGCGAAGCAGCCCTCATCTTAAGGTGGCTCAACACCACACCTGAGATCTAGCCCATGCGACAGTATGGAAGCAGGAGGCCCTACTCCACCACAGAAAGAACATTTATGGGCGCCTAAGCCCTGGGAGAATGGCACCTGAGGGAACAGAGCGTGCCCACAAGCAGACCTTGGGGAGGGAGAAGAGGCAGCCCTGCTCCTAGTCGCAGCCAGCGTGCGTCATGTCCAGGCCCCACAAGGGTGACCCTGGCTCAGGTTCTCATGCTCCAGAAGCTGGCCCAGGTGGCAGTGGGTTCCCTATGGAGGCAGCTCATCATTCACAACACAGCAACAAACCTTCTGCTCTCATGAGGAGAATGTATTTTAAACTTGGGAAGAGTCATAATTCTGGGATGTTTCACATGTTGTCAGCTTTAACCTTCTACAGACACAGGCCCTCTCCTCTGTGAGGAGGGACCTCTGGCATGTGTGGGTGTGTGGTGGGTCCCTCTCCCTATTAGCAGAAATGTGTTGGGCATGAGCCAGGTTTATGATTTGGATTGTGTCCTGCACATAACACCTGTGAGAATACAACTGGGACTAGGACAATGCGGGAAGCATATTCTTCATGAGGCGGTAACCAAAAGGCTTGGCTATACCAAAGGATTCTGGTGGCCGGGCACGGTGGCTCACACCTGTAATGCCAGCACTTTGGGAGGCCAAGGCGGGTAGATCACTTGAGGTCCAGGAGTTCGAGCCCAGCCTGGCCAACATGGTGAAACCCTGTCTCTACTAAACATACAACAATTAGCTGGGCATGGTGGTGGGTGCCTGTAATCCCAGCTACTGGGGAGGCTGAGACAGGAGAAATGCTTGAACCCGGGAAGCAGAGGTTGCAGTGAGCCGAGATTGCACCACAGCACTCCAGCCTGGGTGACAGAGCAAGACTCCACCTCAAAAAAAAAAAACCACAAAAAAACACAAAAGGATTCTGGGTGTAACAATCTCAGTAGAGCCAGCGGGTGACTCTGGTTCTCCTAAAATTCTGCCCTTACTTGCCACTCACCACACCCCCAGATCTGAAGGGCCAGCCCTTTTCTACCTATGACACCTCACCAGCAAGTAAAGGGCACAGGACCTCAGAAGTCTGTGGTGCTAAGGATGAAGACTCTACTCAGAGAAGGTGCTCAGCCCTAGTGAGGAGGTTCTGGGAAGCAGGTGGGCCTGCTCAATGCAGTCCCTAACCCTTGGGAGCATCCATGTGAGAGGTAAAGGTGCAAATGACTTGGGCATGTTGACTCCCTACTGAGGAAGGCAGGGCCCCTCACATCTGCAGTGGCCGTATGCATCAGAGAACGGCATGACTGCACATGTGAGAACTGGGTGCACCCGAGCAGTGTCAATAGGAATCCCTTCCCTATTCCATGCCAAACAGTCTTCCCCAGACACAAAGTTTCCAGGTCCTGAGGCTTGACTCTTCTAAGGCTCAAAATGGGTTCTGTTTCCAGACGTGCTTGCCTTGCTTGTCTTTGCTTGTCTTAAGGACTCTATTTCAGGCCAATACTTGATCCTCAGACAAACTGGGACAGGTTGGGAACTTTGATGTTGAGATCGCCAATGTTGATGTTCCGAGGAATCTCTGGCAGGTTGATGTTTTTCACAGCAGACACAGCCCGCGCAGGGGCTGCTGAAAGGCCACCCTAAGAAGAAATGAGAGGCGAGTATGAGACAAATTCTCACTGTTATCTGCTTAATGCTAAAAAAAAAAAAAAAAAAAAAGCAAAAACAAAAACAAACAAGCAGGATGGGTGTGGTGGCTCACGCCTGTAATCCCAGCACTTTGGGAGGCCGAGGTGGGTGGATCACCTGAGGTCAGGAGTTCGAGATAGGCCTGGCCAACATGGTGAAACCCCATCTCTACCAAAAATACAAAAATTGGCCAGGAGTGGTGGCGGGCCCCTGTAGTCCCAGCTACTAGGGAGGCTGAGGCAGGAAAATCGCTTGAACTCAGAAGGCGGAGGTTGCGGTGAGCTGAGATCACGCCACTGCACTCCAACCTGGGCAACAGAGTGAGACTCTGTCTCAAACAAACAAACAAACAAAATAACAGGTGAAGGATGCCTAGAAAAATTCCAAACTGAGCACACACAACTGAAGTTTTAACTTTCCCCCCTTATTCCTCAAAAGTAGCCAACAAAACAATCTTGAGGTTAGATGGGGTTTGGCACAGGGATCCAAAGCCTGCAGTCCTACTAGACTACCAGCTCCTCAGAGGCGGAGTGTGGCCTATACAGTTTCACAGCCCCAGCCTCTCACAGTACCTGGCACATGGTGGGTACCCAATAAATGCTGAAATAATCTAAGGTGATTTGTCAGGGGCACTTTTCTGGTTACAAAACAAAACAAAACCCTTTCCTCAAGAGACCAAAGACTCTTATTGAAACGTGCAAAGTCACCGGGAAGTTCTTAAAAGGAAAAGGACAGTCACAGCTCTAGGGCAACTGCTTGCCAACTAATAATGTGAGATGAAAAGAGCTGGCTTTGGAAGTGTCATGTGGCAACAAGCTGGGAGAAGGTGGGGGGTATCACAGATAAAGAAGAGCTGGTGACAAAACGCAAAGAGTATGCACATCTACAGTGAACCCCCACCTGGCAGGCTCACCCCCACGTGGAGGGAACGGCAAAAGTGGATGAAAACTCTCTCACAATCATTTTTCCCCTATTGCCTTCTTTCCGGATACCAACTCTGCTTCTGCCCTCACCCAGCAAGTCTCCATTTCTTCTCATTTCCAACCCCCTTGCCTCTGACTCACTTACTATTCCTGGAATCTTCCCAGCCTACATTTCTAAAAGAACTATAGCTGCCACCAATAGCTGTGGTCTGGAAAAGCTTCTTCCACAGGACTGCCAGTCCTCACAGAAAGAAGAATTCCTGGTTTCGCAAGATCAAGTTCCGTATACAAGGCAAAGAAGCTCTTTAAGACACTCAGATAATTAAAGAGGTAATTTGTTCTGCTATTTCTGCATGTGAAAGTATACGTCTGTAACCTCTGTGCTCTGGGAAGGCTGAGGAAGGGGACGGCGAGACCTCAGAGGGATAGGACAGAATTTATGTGAACATCTCTATCAAGCCCAGCACCATGTGGGGGTGGACTGGGGTATGTTATTTTCAAGCCTAGCCCAAACTCTACTGTAGTTTTTTATAAAGCTAACTGGAAATAAGGAAATTGGCAACTCTGAGGTCTGAAAGACACCACGAGAAATGGCTGCTGGGAGATCAGACTCTTAGAGCACACAAACTAGGAAACCACACTGGACTAGGGAAGAGGGTTCTGGGTCCCTCCAGGGAACGAGTGGCTTTCAAAGGAGGAATTACAAACCACAAACATGGGCCATAACCCCCAAGCCAGAAGCTGTTTGCCTTCCTCTGCCATCTGGCTTTTCTATTTGCTCTTCTACCCTGAAAATCTGAGATTTCAAACTTGTTACCTGTTTAATTTTCAGGGCTGGCTGACCTTCAAATCCATGAGTTTCAATGGACTCAAGGAAGAAAGAAGATGAGTATCATTTCCCGAGGTTTCACAGCAACACAAACCAACACATGTACACACTCCTGCCTCTGCCCAGGTTTTCTCTACCCAGCCAGGGCTAGAGCACAGCTGCTTACTCACCTCGGATTTCTCCAGCCTGTTTTGAGCCTCAATCTGAGCCACGATTTCATTCATGTTTGTTTCCAACACCATCCCACCCATCACCACCTCCTGGAGGATGTAGTGCACCTAAAAGGGAAGCAAAAATCAGGAGTCAGAATACTCTGTGGTGGTCAGAGTGTAACCCACGAGGTTTCCTTTTCCTGCAGCAGCAGAGTGGTCAGATATGACCTGTCCTGACTCACAACTCAGACACTCAAACCCCCCTGCCCAGTGACACAACGAGGGGTCTCTCCCAGGTCTTGGCACATGGCAACACGAATCTCTCCCCTCAGCAGCGAGGTGGTAGCTATGAGCACAGGCTTCAAAGTCTGACAGCTCTTGTTTAAATTCTGGCTCTGCTACTTGCTAGCTGGGTGGCCCTGGGCAAATGACCTTTAAAGTGCTTCAGCCTCCTTCCAGGATTGCAGTGAGGACTGGATGAGATAAATGTGTGTAAAGCACCTAGCCTGGTGCCCAGGACACACTGGGTTCTAAGTAAGGAATGGTGGCTTTCATTATTAATATTACCATCATCAACACTGACTGTCATTAAGTAGGTCCAGCTATGACAGAATAATCCCTGTCCAAGCAACTGAAATGAATGTCTTCCACCTTCTATAAGGCAGATCCTCCAGCCTGTGCTCCACTGAAGGGACGTGATCAGAGCAAGATAGAGCCCAATTCCTTTGCACCTCTCCTCACCTCATTTCTTACTGCTTAGATTAGAAAGCAGATTCAGCATAAACACCTTTCTAAGCATAAGGGTCACATTTGGGCTTAGGTTCCATCTAGCTAGCAGTCATCTAAACAAAGCTGAATCTCAGTGTACCTAACTGCTGTGATGGGACGGAGGTGACTCAACTACTGTACCCCTTTGTGGTAGGAAAGCTGTCACAGAAAGCCCTGGGTGGGTCAAAGCAGAGATGCCCACTGTGGTTCATAAGGAATGGTACTCCATATTTCAAACCAAATCACATCAAATGGCCCTCAAGGTGCTTTCGGTCAAGTTGGGAAGACAGCAAGTACAACCTTCTATTGTTAACTAAGTGCCAAATGACTGGGATAGTCCTGGGGAAGTCAGAGAAGAAAGGGTACAGTGGCTAGAGAGATCAGAGAGCTTCACAGAGACAGTGGGAGGATGGAAGCTGGGCTCTGACATTAGAGAGGTAGGGGAAAGAATTTCAGGTAGAAGATGTTGGAAGGAGCAATTCAGCTGGTGTATGGGCAGGTATGGGGAGCTCCTGGGTCTGGCTGGGATGGCAACTTTCTTTATGCAGGAGAGAGGCTAAGACAAGGCTGAGAAGGTAATTTGGGTCTGGAGCAGGGCTTCTCAGCCTAGGTACTAGTGACATCTGGGACCAGATAATCCTCTGCTGTGGGGCTGTCCTGTCACTGTGGCCTGTTCTCTAGCATCCCTGGTCTCTACTCCTCCAGCTTGACAATCAAAAATGTCTCCAGAATTGTCATATGTGTTCCAGGGGGCAAATTCACCCCAGCTGAGAACCACTGGTCCAGAGTCTAGAGTCAACCACCAGTTTACTCTGTCAGCAATGCAGAGTCAAGAAGAAAGATGTGTCTGCATATCTGGGCACTGTGCACTTCTGACATCTGAAGTTCTCTGGCATTGGCTCCCTGTATTTTGCCCTCAGTAAGTGCAGGGAACTTCTGATCTTGAGGACAGAGTATAATAAATCAAATGTATTCCCTTGCGTGTGTGCCCACATTGAGCTTTATTAACCACTGTTCTGTCTACACACACGCACACACACACTCTCACGAGGTGTTCTTACATTTTATACAATATGAATTATTCATTAGCTATATGCAAATGAAGATTTAATGGTAAAAGTCTCATATTTAGATAATTTACAAAATGTTAAACAAGACTGGTTTTAAAATTATTCCCTGGGGGAATTCCACTGTTTATACTTCCCCATCAAGAAATAGGCCTCTGAAAACAGTATGGTGGTTCCTCAAAAAGATTAAAAACAGAATTACCATATGGCCCAGCAATTCCACTTTTGGATATACACTCAAAAGAACTGAAAGTAAAGACTTGAAGAGAATGTGTACACCCATGTTCATAGCAGTATTATTCACAACAGCCAAAAGGTGGAAGCAGCCCAAGTGTCCATGAACAGACGACTGGATCAACAAAATGTGCCATAGAAATACAACAGAATATTATTCAGCCTTAAAAAGGAAAAGAATTCTTTTTTTTTTTTTCATCTGAATTGAGATGCTGTAAAAGGGAAGGGAATTCTGAGACACAATGTAACACGGATGAACCTTGAAGATACTATAAGTGAAACAACCCACACACAAAAGGATGAGGACTGTGTGATTCCACTCCTGTGAGGTACCCAGAGTAGTCAAATTCAGAGACAGAAACTGGAACGGGGGCTGCCATGAGGCAGGGGGAAGAGGACAGTGGTGGCTATTGTTTAATGTGTACAGAGGTGCTGTTTTGCAAGATGAAGAGCTCTGGAGACGGATGGTGGTGGCGACTGCACAACAATGTGGATATACTTAATGCCACAGAACTGTAAGCTTAAAAATGGTGAAGACAGGAAACTATATGTTACATATTTTACCACAATTTAACAAAAAAGGAGAGAAATAGTCCTCTATACCTGCACTTTCAGTATTTATTCCTTTTATTTAGCCAATCCCTGTGTGGGTAGAAAGTAGTACTTGTTGAGTATCTATTATGAACCAAGTACTTTATGTAACTTACCTTAATTTTACAACATTCATCTAAGGTAGGTAATATAATCTTCACTTTATTATTATTATTACTATTATTATTTGAGGCTGAGTCTCACTCTGTCACCCAGGCTGGAGTACAGTGGTGTGAACTTGGCTCACTGCAACCTCCGCCTCCTGGGTTCAAGCGATTCTCCCAACTCAGCCTCCTGAGTAGCTGGGATTACAGGCACCCGCCACCATGCCCAGCTAATTTTTATATTTTTAGTAGAGTCGGGGTTTCCTCATGTTGGCCAGGCTGGTCTGGAACTCCTGACCTCAGATGATCCCCCTGCCTTGGCCTCCCAAAGTGCTGAGATTACAGGCGTGAGCCACCACGCCTGGCCTGACTTCACTTTATATATGAAGAAATTGATACATTTTATATATGAGGAAAAGGCAATAAAATGATCCCAATGTCATGTATATTAGCAGCAGAATGGTGCTGATTCCGGAGCTCATGTTCTACCCTTTATATCATACTTCCTCAGAATCCCAAACTATGTCTTCCACTCTATTCATCCCTGACCCCTAGTCCACATGAAATCATTTAAGACTTGTCTTTGGTGTGTCAATATCTTGTATTAATTCTTCCATGCTTTATCTCCAAGGCCTAGAACAACGCTCAGAGTAGGCATGCTAAATGAATGAAAGGCTTTCCATATATCTAAGTAGCATATTCCTTGGGCTTTAGGGACTTCGAAGATAGACAACAGTGTGGTGGTGGGGGCTTTCTGGAGAAGGTATAGTAAAAGGCCTAACACATGATGTCGTGGAGACTAGTGGCTGGTTAACAGAAAAAGTCAGTTAAAACTTCTTATTTAACACTGCATCATAAAGTCAGCATTTTCAAATGCTGTTCAAAATATGTTCCAAATGCAAAAAGAAGAAATAAAAATGCAAACTCCATTTTTGTTATAACTACAGGATATCCAAAATTCCAAACCCCCAAACAGGTGAAAAAGCTGTCAAAAGCAGGGAGCTCAGGCAGGGACTCCTTTGCTTCACAGAAGAAAAAGAAGAAAGGATGCTACAGGGAGAGGACAGGGAAGCTGGTGATCTCAGAAAGATCTGCAAAAATATGTACTTCCTGTGGGTAAAGGACACACTCCAGCACCAAATTAATTCCTTGTTTTTGGAAGGCAGGAACTTCCTTGGACCTGAAGTTGAGGCTAAATGAGAAATCACGCAAGCTACATTTGCCTCACAGAGGTGGTGTCTGTGGTAGTAGAGAAGACATCCTTTGCATTGTGGAGATGCTAAGAGACGCCTTGCCTATCTCGATTGGCTGGCTAGAGACTAAGGGTAAACGGACTCACCCAGAACCCTAAATCAAGGGAACAACTGTAGCTAGCCCAGAACAGAGTTTTGGTAGCTCCTCCAACAAACATCCTGCAAAACAGCTGGTCCCTGAAAAACTTGCCTATTTAAAGATAAGTATACAAAAAATCTAAACAGGATCTATATAAATATACAACGAGAAAAAATTAGGAAAGAAATAGGAAAACCAAATGGCAGACTAAGACCACAGACTGGAAAAGGGCCTCCATGGACTAGATACAATGGTAATAAAATATTTTACACAAAGAAAAAAAGAAAACTTGATAAAATAGTTGTCTCTATGAAATGAGAGCTCAAAGCAGAAATACAAGAACTTTAGCAGAGGTAGGGAGACGAGAAGAGAAGACAAGCTGCATACTGGCAGAACTGAGGAAAGAAGTGAAAGGAAAAATACTGTTACAGAAATGAAGGTGAAACTGGAAGAAGCAAAGGGAGAAGAAACTGCTAAAAACACACTAGGAACAAAAGGAGAGAAATGGAAAAAAAAAATGAAACCAAAAAGGGCTAAAAGAAATAGAGAAGAAACAGTTACAAAAGACAGCAAAGGAGATGTAATATTTGCATAAAAGAAAACTTTAACATGAATGGGAAAAATATGTAAAGATATGTTCATAAAGATAGAATCTAAGGTGTTTCTGAACTATAAGAGGATTGGGGTCTACACACTGAAAGGTCACACTGTATCCCAGGGGAAACAAATTCAGAATAGGCAGTACCAAGATACACCTTTAGGTAAGGTTTCTGGGTTCCTGCAACCAGGCAAAAAGATCAAATCACTTAAAAGAGAAACAAAATAATGAAAATTTCCACATTAATATTTAATGCTAACAGAAAATGGAACAACACCTACAAAATTCTCAAGGACAGAAAGTGTGACTCAAGGACTTTATTTATTTTTATTTTTATTTTTGAGACGGAGTCTCGCTCTGTTGCCAGGCTGGAGTGCAGTGGCGCGATCTCGGCTCAGTGCAACCTCCACCTCCTGGGTTCAAGCGATTCTCCTGCCTCAGCCTCCCAAGTAGCTGGGACTATAGGCATGCGCCACCATGCCCAGCTAATTTTTGTATTTTTAGTAGAGACGGGGTTTTACCATGTTGGCCAGGATGGTCTGCATCTCTTGACCTTGTGATCCGCCCACCTTGGCCTCCCAAAGTGCTGGGATTACAGGCGTAAGCCACTGTGCCCAGAAGACTCAAGGACTTTATACCCAGTCAACTGTCCAGCAAGGGTAACAGAATGGGGACCATTATTCCCAGGTATTTCTTTTTTTCTTTTTTTTTGAGACAGAGTTTCACTCTTGTTATCCAGACTGGAGTGCAATGGCGCGATCTCCGCTCACCACAACCTCTGCCTCCCCGGTTCAAGCGATTCTCTTGCTTCAGCCTCCTGAGTAGCTGGGATTACAGGCATGTGCCACCACGCCTGACTAATTTTGTATTTTTCGTAGAGATGGGGTTTCTCCATGTTGGTCAGGCTGGTCTCAAACTCCCAAACTCAGGTGATCCGTCCGCCTTGGCCTCCCAAAGTGCTGGGATTACAAGCATGAGCCACTACACCCAGCCAAGTATTTCTTAAGGAATCTACAAAAGGAAGCACTTGTGCCAACTAACAGGTGACTGGAAAAACTATGGCAGGGCCAGGCCTGGTGGCTCATGCCTGTAATCCCAGCACTTTGGGAGGCCAAGGTGGGTGGATCATTTGAGGTCAGGAGTTCAAGACCAGCCTGGCCAACATGGTGAAACCCCGTCTCTACTAAAAATACAAAAATTAGCCAGGTGTGGTGGCATGCACCTGTAATCCCAGCTACTCAGGAGGCTGAGGCAGAATTGCTTGAACCCGGGAGGTGGAGGCTGCAGTGAGCTGAGATCGCACCATTGTACTCCAGCCTGGGTGATGGAGCGAGACTCTATCTCAGAAAAAAACAAACAAACAAAAGTTAGCTGGGCAGAAGTGGCATGTGCCTGTAATTCTAGCTACTTGGGAGGCTGGGGCAGGAGAATCGCCTGAACCCAGGAGGAGGAGGTTACAGTGAGCCAAGATCGTGCCACTGCACTCCAGCCTGGGCAACAAGAGTGAAACTCCGTCTCAGAAACAAAAACAAAAACAAAAACAAAAAAACTACGGCAAAAACTTACGGTGAGCACTGAAAACTACTTAACTGTAGGTCTAAGACTAAAATAGGATTAGGGTAACAACAGATCGTCAATACTATATGCTTTGATGATGTATAAAACTCCAGCTAGCAAAAACTAGGAAGAGAAGAGGGGAAAAAGGAGGGAGGTAGAATACGAACACTGATTTCCTCACCCTCAGTAACTGAGAGTCCATGGATAGCATTTAAAACTAAAGTAATAAAGATATGGTTAATCTGACTTTTACTGTGACTTTTCCCGTGAATGTTCAAGCCTACCATCATTGTTATAAACAACAAAACTTTGAGAGCCACTGAACTTTTGGCTAGGGCCAAAAAACCCTCTTTCTTTCTTTCTCTTTCTTTCTTTCTTTCTTTCTTTCTTTCTTTCTTTCTTTCTTTCTTTCTTTCTTTCTTTCTCTCTCTCTCTCTTTCTTTCTTTACTTTTTTCTTTCCTTCCTTCCTTCTTTCCTTCCTTCCTTCTTTCTTTCTTTCTTTTTTTAGAGACAGGGTCTTGCTCTGTCACCCAGGCTGGAGTGCAGTGCCATGATAATAGCTCACTGCAGCCTTGAACTCCTGGGCTCCAGCAATCCTCCTGCCTCAGTCTCATGAGTAGCTGGGCCTATAGGCATGTGCCACCATGCCCAGCTTTTTTTCTTTTTTTTTTTAATTTCTAAGTAGAGATGAGGTCTTGCTATATTGCTCAGGCTGGTCTTGAACTCCTGAGCTCAAGGGATCCTCCCGCCTCAGCCTTCCAAAGCATTGGGATTACAGGTGTGAGCCAATGTGCCCAACCTAGAAGGATCTCTTCTGCTGATTAGAGTTTTTTGCCATTATTGCAAAAAACTCACCCAGAATGCATCATCTACAATTTCCAGTTTCTTAAAGTTAGAACTCAAACTGCTGTGAAACAGTAAGTACAGAATCCTAGATTTTTAAGATCCTTCCACCTCTACTCTTCCATAGTTATCTTGCCCAAACCTAATTCAGCTTCATTTCCTTTTTAAAGTACTTGTCCTTCCAAAGCATTCCTCTTACTTTTCACAGAGTAATTTTCTTTTCTTTTTTTTTTTGGAAACAGTCTCACTCTGTTGCCCAGCTGGAGTGCAGTGGCACGATCTCGGCTCACTGCAGCCTCTGTCTCCCAGGCTCAAGCGATTCTCTTGCCTCAGCCTCCTGAGTAGCTGGGACTACAGGCGCCCGCCACCACGCCCAGCTTATTTTTTGTATTTTTAGTAGAGACGAGGTTTTACCATGTTGCCCAGGCTGGTCTTGAACTCCTGAGCTCAGGCAATCTGCCTACCCCGGCCTCCCAAAGTCCTAGGATTACAGGCGTGAGCCACCATGCACAGCCAGAATAATTTTCTTTTCTCCCTCATAATTTAATCTGTATATTATTTAATCAAATTACATAATTACAGTACCAGTTTACTGGCATAAAGAGATCTGGAAACATCACAACTGACCTTTGGTAAGCAAAATGACTCAAGTGTAAGTGAGCAATGGATGAGCGAACAGCTGCCCGTGTTAGTCCTGCTAGTCAGTTCAGACCTTGTCCACTGAATATGAAGTTGACCATGAAAGATGGCTAACATTTCTCTGATTGGAGATAGATGGGACTTAAGAAAGTTGGAGGCTGCCAAGCATGGGTGTGGGAGCAAGCAGTCAAGAATCAACACTGAACTCATGTACCTAAAGAACTGGAGATAGAGTCAGGGCACAAAGAAGGGTTCTGTTAAACAACAGAAGTTGGCTGATGCGCTGACCTTGAGGATGCCTGCAGAAATCTAAGTAAATACCTGAGAGAACACTGACAGATAAAGTCACAAACCAACACAGGGAGGCTGGTAGGGAAAGAAAATCTGAGACGTGAGTCATGTAAATGGTATTCAAAACCACAGGAACAGAAAGAAAGAGGCTAAGTCTTCGAGAGGCCTAAACTCAGCTTCACACAGTGTGCATTGAACAAATATGAATTATGAAGTAATAATAATTCAACCTTCTACTCAGCAAGCATGGGAAATAATGACACTAGCAAAATTCACTCAGAAGTGTTTATTAACAGAGTTTAAACAAAAGTGCTACTGATTTTTCAGTACTTGGCAAATCCAATGGTAATTCAACCTAAAAATAATTACAACCAGGATGAGTTTCATCTGACATAAAGATTAGGATAACCCCAATAAACCAACAGGATATCTTGATATAAGGGGAAGGCAATAGAGAAAATGCTTCGGGTGATAAATCTGAAATCTTAAAAGGTAAAATGAGGCATAGATACTGATGTTTTCCAAGATCAAGATACATAAATTTATGACAACATTTTAGTGAGTGAAAGTCGGTGTTTTTAGCTCTGTCCTATTTAAATTTTTCTCTTGGAACCCCTGAAAATAGTCAAGAGTAGGAATGAGTACTGTAGTCAAAATGTCAATTCCTCTAAAGACAATCTAACCTGTTATCGAGTCTCTCCACTCTCCCCCAACACCTCTGGACATCTGTGTCTCTTTATTTTTTTTTTTTCTTGAGACATGGTCTCACTCTGTCGCCCAGGATGGAATACAGTGGCATGATCTCGGCTCATTGCAACCTCCACCTCCCAGATTCAAGCGATCCTACAGCCTTAACCTCCCCAGTAGCTGGGACTACAGGCCACATGCCACCACACCCGGCTAATTTTTTTTCTTTTTTTTTTGAGACGGAGTCTCGCTCTGTGGCCCAGGCTGGAGTGCAGTGGTGCGATCTCGGCTCACTGCAACATCCGCCTCCCGGGTTCAAGCAATTCTCCTGCCTCAGCCTCCCGAGTAGCTGGGACTACAGGCGTGTGCCACCACACCCAGCTAATTTTTTGTATTTTTAGTAGAGACAGGGTTTCACTGTGTTAGCCAGGATGGTCTCGATCTCCTGACCTTGTGATCCGCCTGCCTCGGCCTCCCAAAGTGCTGGGATTACAGGTATGAGCAACTGCGCCCAGCACACCTGGCTAATTTTTGTATTTTTTGGTAGAAATGGGGTCTCACCATGTTGGCCAGGCTGGTCTCAAACTCCTGATCTCAGGTGATCCGCCCACCTCAGCCTCCCAAAGTGCTGGGATTACAGGTGTGAGCCACCTCGCCTGGCCTCATTTTTTCTTTTCTAGGATGCTATCACCTCATCCTCCATCCCTTGAAGGTACTTGCTTCTATAACTGGACCTACTTACTGTCTGCAACACAAAGTTAACCTCTGCAGACAAAAGTAGATTAAGACCAGGCATAGCAGCTCATGCCTGTATTCCCAGCATTTTGGGAGGCCTAGGAAGGAGGATTGCTTGAGCCCAGGAGTTCAAGACCAGCCTGGGCAACATAGTGAGACCTCTGTCTCTCTAAAAAAAAAAAGTTTAAAAACTAGCTGGGCATAGTGGCACAAGCCTGTAGTTCCAGCTACTCGGTAGGCTGAGGTAAGAGGATCACTTGAGCCTGGAAGTCAAGACTTCAGTGATTGCACCACTGCACTCCAGCCTGGGAGACAGGGCGAGACCCTGTTACAAAAAAAAAAAAAAAAAAAAAAAAAAAAGTAGATTAAAATGAGTCTGCTAGTTTCATATCAGAATTGAATCTAAGAAGAAAAATAAAAGTGTTTCTTCAAGGATACAGATGTGCCTCAGGAACCTAGCTCTAGAACTACTAGGGGTGGGGACAAGTCAGTTGCAACAACCCTCCGGAAGGACAGAGGATTCCATGCTCTTCAAGGGTTCCATCCCTGGTTGTTTCTCACTGAAATCAAAGAAAGTTCTGAATCTAATCCCATGTCAACAGAGATCACTTAAAAACAGACTGATCTGGTACCTGAAGATAATAAACAAGAAGGCATAAGCAAGGTATTTAAATTACCTTTTACTCTAGTAAAAACACAGTCTCCAAACCTTAAATTGGTCATGTTCCAAATGTTTAAGTATTTAAATTTACAATGCATTTTTCTATAAAGGTAATAAGTAAGATTTTCAAGGCTAGCAGCTCATGAAAGCAGACTTAAATCCATAAAGCTACCCAAAATGTGGTACCAGAGAGCACCCCTGCCACTACACCTAATATGAACAATACTGTTTCTATAATAAAATGCAGTTCTGTATTGGGATGGCAGGATTCCATCTAACCGAAAATTTCACAGGCAGAGAGGATAAGTAAAATCTTTTGAGACACTAGCAGCATGTTAATGCATGCCACATCCCAAGCTTAATCGAATCCATAGAAACCTCTAATCTAGATCAATCCCTCTCCAGGTCCCTTGCACTGTAGGGCAAATGCCTGTTGTGCTACAAAAGACAGAGGCTCACATTCCTACTGTGGAGTCTTTCTCAAAATAACTGTGTTATACATAGAAGACAAAAACACTAATCAAATATAAAAGAGCATGGTCACAGTGCTTGTATTAAAACATGAGGATGCCAATACTGCAACACTCAAGTTTTGAAAAAGAATTGTTAATCACTGACAAGACTCTAGTCTACTATATAAAAAGCTGAGTGCTGATAGCTTTTTCTTTTTATTTGATACAGAGTCTCGCTCTGTCGCCCAGGCTGGAGTGCAGTGGCGTGATCTTGGCTCACTGCAGGCTCCGCCTCCCAGGTTCATGCCATTCTCCTGCCTCAACCTCCGGAGTAGCTGGGACTACAGGCACCCGCCACCACACCTGGCTAATTTTTTGTATTTTTAGTAGAGACAGGGTTTCACCGTGTTAGCCAGGATGGTCTCGATCTCCTGACCTTGTGATCCGCCTGCCTTGGCCTCCCAGGCTGATAGCTTTTTCTACTCCTTCGTGGCATAGCTGGTTTCATTAATTCCTAGGAAAGGGCTTCAGAAAATAAGTAGGGAAGAGATTGTTGAGAGATGGGAAATGCATCATTTTCTTGTCTATACTTGGGGGCATGGTGGCTATTAATGAGCCAAAGGGTAACGACGCTCTGAGGTGACTCAGCACTGACGGGAAGAGAAAATCATCTGAGAGTCATCTTGGCCCAGAGTCAGACTCTAGTTCCCATATTATACATTTTAGAAAGAAATGAAAAGAGGAAGAAGATATCTTTATGAGTAGTATTGAGGACCTGGTACATATGCCTTTTTCTCTCTTACTCGTACTTTCATTCCAAAGTCCAATGTTTTATCGGTGTTTTAAGACAAGCAAAGGACTGACTATCCTCATTCCCTTGCATCTCTTTTACCTAAAAATGAACATATGGTAATTAGACTCAATGACTGTTGGCTGGATGTCTATGTAGGTGTAACTACAGTGAACAACATGGAACACATTAACAAGTACCAGGCATACTTGACTTCATTGAAAAGTTGACTTCTAGCTAGGGAGACAAAACAATATGCATGAAAGAGACATTAAATCACCATTAAATCATTTTAACAGAAAACTTTAAAAGCGTATTACACACTCCCATGACTTCTAAAAAAGAATATTCTAAATGTAATTGGGCTTTTTTTGGGGGGAGTGCTTTTTTTGCAGCTCATTGTTAATATCTAAGTAATGAATTGTATTTTTTTTTCTTTAGATGGAGTCTCACTCTGTCGCTCAGGCTGGAGTGCAGTGGCACGATCTAGGCTTACTGCAACCTCCACCTCCCAGGTCCAAGTGATTCTCTTGCCTCAGATTCCTGGGTAGCTGGAACTACAGGCGCCCACCACCACGCCCGGCTAATTTTTTGTATTTTTAGTAGAGACGGGGGTTTCACTATGTTAGCCAGGATGGTCTCGATCTCCTGACCTAGTGATCTGCCCACCTTGGCCTCCCAAAGTGCTGGGATTACAGGCATGAGCCACTGCGCCCAGCCTATGAATTGTACTTTTTTAAAAAAAAATTATACTTTAAGTTCTGGGGTACATGTGCAGAACATGCAGGTTTTTACATAGCTATACACGTGCCATGGTGGTTTGTTGCACCCATCAACTGGTCATCTACATTAGGTATTTCTCCTAATGCTACCCTTCTCCTAGCCCCCTACCCCCGAGAGGTGCTGTTGTGTGATGGTCCCCTCCCTGTGCCCATGTGTTCTCATTGTTCAACTGCCATTTATGAGTGAAAACATGTCGTGTTTGGTTTTCTGTTCTTGTGTTAGTTTGCTGAGAATGGTGGTTTCCAGCTTTATCCATGTCCCTGCAAAGGACATGAACTCATCCTTTTTTTATGGCTGCATAGTATTTCATGGTAAATTGTATTTTAATGCTAAGATTCCTTCAGGAACTCTCAGGCACATAGAGCTGTCTGGTCCTAAGCAGCTCTGAAGAAAGCAAGCCAAGAAAGCAACTTTGCTTTGTAAAGTTCTGTTTTTCCCTTTCACCTGCTCTTAGTGTCTTCTGAATCACTTTTATGAACTGTTTGATCTTCAGACTGGACATTTCCATGGTTTTCCCTAGATGTCTTCTTGTCATAAAATTCCACAAGACATTCAATCCCTAGCCATTGATTTCTTTCTCTCTTTCACTCACAGGATCATACATTGTTTCAGTGGGCAATGAATGAATCCAGTGGAGCCTTGTCTTACACATCAGATGAAACGGCTGGCTGGTTTAGGGGCCACAGAGATTGAAAATTTGTTTTAAGCATTAGAATCACTCTAAGCACTCTACGATACACATGAGCACAGGCACATGAGAGCAGAGGCAAAGAAGAGCAGATTCAAATCTTCCATGTCACACTCATTCCAGACATATACTAATTAAGTAGAATTGAGGGCATATTCGTACTGTATTTAGAATTTTTCATTTCCTTTTTGTTTTTGGACAAATGGATAGAGTTGAACAAGTTGAATGTTTCAGTGAGCCCACTGTACCTACCACATAAAAGGCAGTGTGTTAGGTTCAAGGCATTCACTGATTTTTTTCTTTTTTTTTTTTGAGACAGGGTCTTGCTCTGTCACTATCACTCAAGCTGCAGAGCAGAGGCGTGATCATGGCTCACTGCAGCCATGGCCTCCCAGGCTCAAGTGATCCCACCTCAGCCTCCAGAGTAGCTGGGACCACAGACCTGCATCACCACACCCAGCTAATTTTTGTATTTTTTGTAGAGACAGGGTTTCACCATGTTACCCAGGCTGATCTCAAACTCCTGGGCTCAAGCAATCCTTCTGTTTCAACCTCCCAGAGTGCTGGGATTACAGCACCTGGCCGATTTTTCACTAAAAGAACATAATCTCTAACAATGTCTATTTTCAAATATGCTTAACATCACAGATTGTTAAGAGCTGGAAGAAGGAAATGAAGATAAGATGTGGACCCTGTCCTTAAAGAGCTTAGAATCAAGTAAGAAAGATTAAACATGTACAGAATTAACTATAATAAAAGGAAGTCTGTGATAAATACCATGACCCAAGTACAAAGTACTATGTTATTTCAGAGAAGGGTGGCCTTAAAACTAACTGGCAATTGGAGGAAAAGGCATCCAGGCAGAGGGAATGGCAAATTACCTAGCAACTCATTCATTATTCTTCATGCTCTACTAATTCATCTTCTTTTTTTTTTTTTGAGACAGAGTCTTGCTCTGTCCCCCAGGCTGGAGTGCAGTGGTGCGATCTCAGCTCACTGCAACCTCCGCCTCCTGCGTTCAAGCAATTCTCCTGCCTCAGCCTCCTGAGTAACTATGATTACAGGCATGTGCCACCACGCCTGGCTAATTTTTCTATTTTTAGTAGAGATAGGGTTTCACTATGTTGGCCAGGCTGATCTTGAACTCCTGACCTTGTGATCTGCCCAACTCGGCCTCCCAAAGTGCTGGGATTACAGGCATGAGCCACCGCGCCCAACTCAACTTCTTTTTTAATTAATAAAAGGATCACTCACTCACTGGCTTCATATTTTATGCTCTTTGAATATATATAGTTGACTGCAGTAAAGTATACTCACTACATATTATTACTTCCTTTTTTAAAAAAACCAGTTCCTATTATGAGTCAGGGTTCTCCGTGAAATCATTTTTTTTTTTTTTAATGTTCTAGCAGGACTTTTTCTTTCTAACCCAGTGTTTCATCCTCCTTTGGCTACTACCTGTTTGCACTGCTGATCCCAAATGCCAAGCACAGTGCTAAGTACAGAAAAAGATCCAGACCTTGTCCTTTTGAATTTCATCCTTCCTTGGTTGCTTATCTGCTAAGAAAACATGACACAAACACATTTCCCCACATTTAGGATGTCAAAGCAGGCGGGAATACTACAGGCAGCATTGCAGAGTGTAGAGGGAGCGGGTCCATAATCAGAGTCCAGGATCTGAATGTGGCTCTATCACTTACCAGCTGTGTGACCTTAGAGAAACTGAGGCTTCCTACCAATAAACCTCAGTTTCTTCATCTGTAAAATGGGGAGAACCAGAGTTCTTAGCTGCCAGGCTTATTCTAAAGATTAAAAAAGATGATGTAGGAAATAAATGAGACACTGTATATAAAGCACTTAGCTATCTATTACGTGCCTAGTTCTTAGTAAGTACTCGGATGTTGGTTAATTTGGTAGTTATAATCAAAGTCATCTTGACCAACCTCTTTCCCAGTGCAGGATTCTGTTCTTTGGCTCCTGCAACAGTATAGATCCTTCACTCTGGTGACAGATCCTTCGCCTCCATGAAGAGAGCTCACTACTGTTTCCAAGCTGCTCAGTGGGCTGTTGAGCAGCAACAACTGTCAGAGAGTTTTTAACTGTACTGAGCTACAACAAGCATCAAATAATTTCCACCCCCGATCCTACCTGTGTCTTCTGGAGCAACACAGAGTAAGTCCCTGCCCTCTACCCTGGGATTCTATCACTCTGCCTAAGGCAACCACATAGGCAGGCAGATAAGTGAAGCACAATTTGGCCATAAAACAAAAAAAGAAAAAAAGTCCAAATGCCACACCTAGATCCCATAAAACTGTTTCTAAGGAGACCATCTCCATCCCCACAGTTCCTGCTCCTTCTAAATCACTGCCCATGGAACAGCCCTGTGCCCCAGTCCACCTGCTCGCCCTTTACATGCTGGCTCAAAGACTTCCAAAGCTGTAACATCCCTAAACACAAGTTACAAAAATAGTTCAGTATCACTGGAGTGTAAAGTTCAAAGCAAGAGGTGAGGCTAGACAGGCAGGCTGGGCATGCTCATGGAGGTCTTTGTACATAAGAAGGGGCTGCAGCTTCACCCTTTTGGCAGTGGTCCCCAACTTAAAAAAAAATTCATGAAAATTCACTTAAATAACACACTTCCCTCAATCACTCAGTGTCACTGAACTATCATAAGGTTTTGAGGAAGGTGGTGGAGGGGAGTGAGGCATGTCCTTCTCCTTAAGAATCACTGCAGCTGGGGGTATACATCAGCAAGGGAGTTAGTAAAAAATACATTTTTAAATATATCATTAGGAAGGTGTGTAAAGGATAGTCTTAAGGCACAATATAGGAGGCAGAGAGACTAGTAGGAAAAAAGTAAAAATAAAGACAAATTCACCATTTATTGAACTAAGCAATTATTCACTAATTCCGATCCTCAAATAATTGAATGGTGGATATTACTGTATTATATCAAATCTAAGACTTCACTGATTGTAAAACATACTATTTTTATGTGCTACTACAAAAGAAAAATGACATACCATTGATTATAAGAAAAATCTTGATTTGAGATGTTAAAATTATAAATGGTACCCAAAAAGTGAGTCTAAAGAATCAATGAGGGCTGCCACCCCGTCTGGGAAGTGAGGAGTGTCTCTGCCTGGCCGCCCATCGTCTGGGATGTGAGGAGCCCCTCTGCCTGGCTGCCCAGTCTGGAAAGTGAGGAGCGTCTCCGCCCGGCCGCCATCCCATCTAGGAAGTGAGGAGCGCCTCTTCCCAGCCGCCATCACATCTAGGAAGTGAGGAGCGTCTCTGCCCGGCCGCCCATCGTCTGAGATGTGGGGAGCGCCTCTGCCCCGCTGCCCCATCTGGGATGTGAGGAGCGCCTCTGCCCGGCCGAGACCCCGTCTGGGAGGTGAGGAGCGTCTCTGCCCGGCCGCCCCGTCTGAGAAGTGAGGAGACCCTCTGCCTGGCAACCACCCCGTCTGAGAAGTGAGGAGCCCCTCCGCCCGGCAGCTGCCCCGTCTGAGAAGTGAGGAGCCTCTCCGCCCGGCAGCCACCCCATCTGGGAAGTGAGGAGCGTCTCCGCCCGGCAGCCACCCCGTCCGGGAGGGACGTGGGGGGGGGGTCAGCCCCCCGCCCGGCCAGCCGCCCCATCCGGGAGGGAGGTGGGGGGTCAGCCCCCCCGCCCGGCCAGCCGTGCCATCCGGGAGGGAGGTGGGGGGGTCAGCCCCCCGCCTGGCCAGCCATGCCGTCCGGGAGGGAGGTGGGGGGGTCAGCCCCCCGCCCGGCCAGCCGCCCCGTCCGGGAGGTGAGGGGCGCCTCTGCCCGGCCGCCCTACTGGGAAGTGAGGAGACCCTCAGCCCGGCCAGCCACCCCGTCCGGGAGGGAGATGGGGGGGTCAGCCCCCCCACCCGGCCAGCCGCCCCGTCCGGGAGGGAGGTAGGGGGGTCAGCCCCCCGCCTGGCCAGCCGCCCCGTCCGGGAGGGAGGTGGGGGGGTCAGCCCTCCGCCCGGCCAGCCGCCCCGTCCGGGAGGTGAGGGGCGCCTCTGCCCAGCCGCCCCTACTGGGAAGTGAGGAGCCCCTCTGCCCGGCCAGCCGCCCCGTCCGGGAGGGAGGTGGGGGGGGTCAGCCCCCCGCCCGGCCAGCCGCCCCGTCCGGGAGGGAGGTGGGGGGGGTCAGCACCCCCGCCCAGCCAGCCGCCCTGTCCGGGAGGTGAGGGGCGCCTCTGCCCGGCCGCCCCTACTGGGAAGTGAGGAGCCCCTCTGCCCGGCCAGCCGCCCCGTCCGGGAGGGAGGTGGGGGGGTCGGCCCCCCGCCCGGCCAGCCGCCCCGTCCGGGAGGGAGGTGGGGGGGTCGGCCCCCCGCCCGGCCAGCCGCCCCGTCCGGGAGGGAGGTGGGGGGGTCGGCCCCCCGCCCGGCCAGCCGCCCCGTCCGGGAGGGAGGTGGGGGGGTCGGCCCCCCGCCCGGCCAGCCGCCCCGTCCGGGAGGGAGGTGGGGGGGGGGGGGGTTGGCCCCCCTGCCCGGCCAGCCGCCCCGTCCGGGAGGTGAGGGGCACCTCTGCCCGGCCGCCCCTACTGGGAAGTGAGGAGCCCCTCTGCCCGGCCACCACCCCGTCTGGGAGGTGTGCCCAACAGCTCATTGAGAACGGGCCAGGATGACAATGACGGCTTTGTGGAACAGAAAGGCGGGAAAGGTGGGGAAAAGATTGAGAAATCGGATGGTTGCCGTGTCTGTGTAGAAAGAAGTAGACATGGGAGACTTTTCATTTTGTTCTGCACTAAGAAAAATTCCTCTGCCTTGGGATCCTGTTGATCTGTGACCTTACCCCCAACCCTGTGCTCTCTGAAACATGTGCTGTGTCCACTCAGGGTTAAATGGATTAAGGGCGGTGCAAGATGTGCTTTGTTAAACAGATGCTTGAAGGCAGCATGCGCGTTAAGAGTCATCACCAATCCCTAATCTCAAGTAATCAGGGACACAAACACTGCGGAAGGCCACAGGGTCCTCTGCCTAGGAAAACCAGAGACCTTTGTTCACTTGTTTATCTGCTGACCTTCCCTCCACTATTGTCCCATGACCCTGCCAAATCCCCCTCTGTGAGAAACACCCAAGAATTATCAATAAAAGAATAAATTAAAAAAAAAAAAAAAGAATGGACTTTCCCAGGCCAGCTGTGGTGGCTCACGACTGTAATCCCAGCACTGTGGCAGGCCAAGGCGGGCAGATCACCTGAGATCAGGAGTTCAAGACCAGCCTGACCAACACGGAGAAACCCCGTCTCTACTAAAAATAAAAAAAATTAGCTGGGCGTGGTGGTGCATGCCTGTAATCCCAGCTACTTGGGAGGCTGAGGCAGGAGAATTGCTTGAACCCAGGAGGCAGAGGTTGTTGTGAGCTGAGATTGCACCATTGCACTCCAGCCTGGGCAACAAGAGGGAAACTCCATCAGAAAAAAAAAAAAAAAGGACTTTCTCAAAGAAAATGTATTTAAATGTCTGCACCAATAATTCCAGCATGTGTATGAATAAATATGATATGTCCTTTAAAAAAAAAAAAAAAAAAAAAAAGAATCAATGAAATGTGATATCATCCCTGTTTTACAACTGAAGAAAACTGAGGCACAAAGAGGTCTTTAAGAGGGTTGCATAAATTACACAGTTAGAATCTGGTAGAGTCAGAAGCCCACAAAGGCAATTCATGCAGAATCCCACTTGAGGAACACAGGGTTCCTAGTTCCTCCTGAGTGCACCCAGAGGTTATCTCCCAAGGGAGCAAAGGCAAAGTGAAAAGTGAGCCCACCCCGAAACTAGCCAGTATGCACAAGTCATAACCTTCAAAGGCAAGGTCTAATTAGAATTTGGTTTTAAAAAATGGGCCTTGGCTGGGTGCAGTGGCTCACGCCTGTAATCCTAGCACTTTGGGAGGCTGAGGAGGATGGATCACTCGAGGTCAGGAATTTGAGACCAGGTTGGCCAACATGGCGAAACCCTGTCTCTACTAAAAAATACAAAAATTAGGGCTGGGCGTGGTGGCTCACGCCTGTAATCCCAGCACTTTGGGAGGCCGAGGTGGACAGAGCATGAGGTCAGAAGTTCAAGACTAGCCTGGCCAAGATGGTGCAACCCCGTCTCTACTAAAAAAATACAAAAAATTAGCCAGGCATGGTGGTGCGCACCTGTAATCCCAGCTACTCGGAAGGCTGAGGCAGGAGAATTGCTTGAATCCAGGAGGCAGAGATTGCAGTGAGCCAAGATCACACCACTGCACTCCAGCCTGGATGACAGAGTGAGACTCCATCTCAAAAAAAAAAAAAAAAAAAATATTCGCTGGGCGTGGTGGTGCGCACCTGTAGTCCCAGCTACTCAGGAGGCTGAGGCATGAGAATTGCTTAAACCCGGGAGGCAGAGGTTACAGTGAGCCAAGATCATGCCACTGCACTCCAGCCTGGGCAACAGAGTAAGACTCTGTCTTAAAAAAAAAAAAAAAGAAAAGAAAAGAAAAGAAAAAGAAACCCACAAAATTGGGACACATATCTATTTCACATCAACTAATCAACTCTGACTGTCCTGTATTGTTTGGATAACCAACAAAGTATTACATACTGACACTATTCCAAAGGCGTTTACAATCTACTAGAAACAGTTAGAATTAAAAACTTGAGAGCATGAGCAAGAAGACAAACAGTTTGGAGAACTACAATACCGAAGTTTAGAGAAAGCTTCATCAAAAGTAAAAACTGGGCTGGGGCTGGGCACGGTGGAGGAGAGACAGGGTTTCAACATGTTGGTCAGGCTGGTCTTGAACTCCTGACCTCAAGTGATCCATCCACCTCGGCCTCCCAAAGTGCTGGGATTACAGGTGTGAGCCACCGTGCCTAGTTTATGAGCTTCTTACAGGTAGAAAATTTGAGTTTTATATCTTTGTATCTCTATATTTAGCGCAGTGTCTTTTTCCTAATGAATGCTTAATAAATGATTGTTGTTTGGTAATCAGAGAAAAGACAAAAACACTCTCAGACATCAGTACTTCATCAAGGTCAGAGAGCCAAGGTAAAGACAAATGATTTGCAGAAAGCCTCTAAGGAGGGAGGCACTCGCCTCCCACATATAAAAACCATTTATTCTGTTAAGAAATTTTATTTTAAGTCATCTTAAATTCATTTGGGAAGTATAGAAGATATAAATGCCCAATAATCAGAGAAACTGAAAAGCTGCCATGTGGGATACCTTTCCTAAGATTCAACCATGTTTTCTTCTTATTAGAGCACTCCTCTATTTTTCTGTTACTAAAATTTCTAGCTTCCCTTCTACAAAGTGATAATAAAAATCAAACATTAACTTTTCCTCTAAGAAAATCCATGAAAAAACCATGGTCATCATTGGTAATATTCAACTAGTTCAGGTTCTCCTCCCTCTTGGGCACATAATAGGATCATTTCCCCATCCCTTGGGTGGGAGCATGTGACTGATTTTGATCACTGAAATGTGAGTGTACGAGGATGTGTCACTTCAAGAGCCGGAACACACACATGCCCAGGTAGAAGCATATGTTGAGGAGATTTCCATCAGCCTGGACCTCAGAGGAACTACAGTCAGCAGACACACCACAATGGCCACATAGCACGAGTGAAAAAATAAACCTTGCTCTCATAAGCCATTGGGATTTTGGAGTAATGCATTACCTAGCCTACCTTGATTGATACAAAAATCAAGCCTGGAAAAGGGTTCTTAGTTAGGAATCAAGAGATTCTGCTTTGCTGGGTGTGGTGGCTCACACCTGCAATCCCAGCACTTTGGGAGGCTGAGACAGGCGGATCACCTGAGGTTGGGAGTTTGAGACCAGCCTGATCAACATAGAGAAACTCCGTCTCTACTAAAAAAAAATACAAAACTAGCCGGGTGTGGTGGCGCACGCCTATAATCCCAGCTAGGCAGGAGGCTGATGCAGGAGAATTGCTTGAACCCAGGAGGTGGAGGTTGCAGTGAGCCGAGATCACGTCATTGCACTCCAACCTGGGCAACAAGAGCGAAACTCCATCTCAAAAAAAGAAAGAAAAAGAAAGAAAGAAAGAAAGAAAGAAAGAAAGAAAGAAAGAGAGAGAGAGAGAGAGAGAGAGAGAGAGAGAAAGAAAGAAAGAAAGAAAGAAAGAAAGAAAGAAAGAGAAACTCTACTTCTTATCTTAGAGTAGGCTAATCCTCTTCTGCAATATAAGGAATAATAGCAAGAACAATAAAATTGAATCTCAATTCCAGCCTTTCAGGGTGCCTATAAATCAGCAACCAAAGCAAAATACAATTCGTTTTATCTGCAACATATCCAAGTAATACCATGGGTAATAAGCTTTGTTTACTGACTACAACCTTGACAAACACTAGGTTTTACTGAAAACGGCTGCATATCAAATGAATATCTCTAAAGGTCAAATTGTGCTGTTTTGTGTACACTGTTATTCTACTAACCAGTAATAAGGAATGACTAACACACCAAACTTGAAGCAGCAGGTAATCAATGAGATTGTGCACTGAGGCAATCCAAAGTTCAAGTAAGGAAAGCGAGTGTGTATATGGCAGCAGATATTCAGTATAGTCTGGAACAATCCTTGCTTTTGTTTTTTTCTTTTTTTTTTTCTTTTTTACTTAAAGAGATGGGGTCTCACTTATTGCTCAGGCTGTTCTCAAACTCCTGGGCTCAAGTGATCCTCTCGCCTCAGCCTCCCAAAGTGCTGGGGATTATCGTCGTGAGCCTCCACAACCAGCCCAAGTGTCCTTCCTTCCTTCCTTTCTTCCTTCCTTCCCTCTCTCCTTGCTTCCTTTCTCTTTCTTTCTTTCCTTCTTTCTTTCTTTTTCCCTCCTTCCTTCCTTTTTTTCTTTTCTTTCTTTCCTTTTTTCTTTTCTTTTTCTTCCTTCCTTCCTTTCCTTCCTTCCTTTTTCCTTCCTTTCCTTCCTTCCTTCTTTCCTTCCTTTCCTTCCTTCCTTCCTTCCTTCCTTTTCTTTCTTTCTTTTTTTTTTTTGAGATGGAGTCCTGCTCTGTCGCCCAGGCTGGTGTGCAGTGGCGCGACCTCGGCTCACTGCAACCTACACTTCCCAGGTTCAAGCAATTCTCCTGCCTCACGTCTCCCGTGTAGCTGGGATTAAAGGTGCACGCCACCACGCCTGGGTAATTTTTGTATTTTTAGTAGAGACGGAGTTTCACCACGTTGGCCAGGCTGGTCTCGAACTCCTGACCTCAGGTGAGCCACCCGCCTTGACCTCCCAAAGTGCTAAGATTACAGGCTCGAGCCACCGCGCCCAGCCCTTCTTTCTTTTTTTTTCTAAACAAATTACAGGGATTTTAGAAATTTAAGAAATCATTATTGCTGATCTTTTTTTTTTTTTTTTTCTGAGATGGAGTCTCGCTCTGTCACCCAGGCTGGAGTGCAGTGGCGCGATCTCGGCTCACTGCAAGCTCCGCCTCCAGGGTTCATGCCATTCTCCTGCCTCAGCCTCCAGAGTAGCTAGGACTACAGGCACCTGCCACCATGCCCAGCTAATTTTTTGTATTTTTTAGTAGAGACAGGGTTTCACCGTGTTAGCCAGGTTGGTCTCGATCTCCTGACCTCGTGATCTGTCCGCCTTGGCCCTCCCAAAGTGCTGGGATTACAGGCATGAGCCATCATGACCAGCCGATCTCTGTCTTTATGTTACCCTGAGGGAATAAGATTTTGGCCTCTGAAAAAAATATTCTACAGCCAACACTAAGAATTGAAGATAACATACAGAAAGTACAGTAGTCCCCCCTTACCTGCCTAGAATATGTCCTAAGACCCCCAGTGGATGCGTTATTTTTTCCTATACACACATACCTAGGATAAAGTCTAATTTGTAAATTAGGCACAGTAAGAGATTAACAACGATAACTAATAATAAAAACAATTATGACAATATGCCAGCATCATTACTCTTGCACTTTGGGGCCATTATGAAGTAAAATAAAGGTTACCTGAACACAAGCACCGTGACACTGTGACAGTCAAGATGGCTACTAAGTAAGCAGTGGGCAGCTAGTGTACACAGCACGGATACAATGGATGAGGGGATGATTCCCATCCTGGAGCAGGACAGAGCAACATTTCATCATGCTGCTCAGAATGGCATGCAATTTAAAACGTATTGTTTATTTCTAGAATTTTCCATTTAATATTTTTGGACCATGGTTGACTGTGCATAACTGGAACTACAGAAAGTGAAACTGCAGATAAAACTGTCTGTCTTAACCACGCTTTAACTCTGCCCTACAACTGGCCTTTCTGTATGTAAGATAATAAATTTCCTTATTACTTAAGCCAAAAAAAAAAATTCTGCCACAAAATTCTTACCTATCAAGCATCAGTAAAGAAGGGCTTTATAGATGCAATGGAACACAAGGCTGGTCTCAGCTCTCTTCTTCTCTTAGGCACATCCAGATAGAGAAACAGAGGCAGCCAGGGATAGTCAGGTATGTTAACTCGCACCTTTTACAAGAACTAAAACTCAAACAGAATACCTTATTCTTCCAGACCAAATAGCTCCTCTTTCATCATCAAAAACACAAACTGTCTGTCCCTCACTTGTCCCTCCATTCCTGGAGACCTGCAGTCAGGACATCTGCTTCAACGTCACAGGGTGTGGCAGGTATTAATGAGCTTTGTTATCACAAGCTCTGTTCACAGAAGGGACATCTGGCAAACAAAACCCAATATTACTGTTTATGATCCTTTCATCTTAGTGCTCACGAGTTAATTTTGAACTCTCAGCATTTTTCCATTTTAGCAGCCTATGCTTAGCAGAGATTTAAAATTCCATACTATGAGGTTTTCTTGGGTTCAGCACCATTCAGAAGCATATGTTT
The DNA here is from genome assembly GCF_000001405.40 of Homo sapiens. Taxonomy (NCBI): domain Eukaryota; kingdom Metazoa; phylum Chordata; class Mammalia; order Primates; family Hominidae; genus Homo; species Homo sapiens. Next base: position 89,861,268 of record NC_000015.10, read on the forward strand.
CAATTCTCTTGAGAGGGCCCACTGCAAATTGAAATCTATTTAAAAAAAAATAAAGCGCTGGATAAATTCCCTTGACATAGCCATTGAATTGTGACTCTGATGACCAAATCTTGAAAGCCCAATTGAATTCTAAATCCAGCTTTGCTATTAGATACTGGTAGATCAGAATGTTAGGTCACCCACACAGTTTTCTTTGAACAAAATTCAATTCACCATAATTAACACCAACACCCAGCTCAGTCATAATGTTGAGCTGTGTTTAGGGATTTCTGAAAGCAAAAGGGAACCAAGTACCCTAGGCTCTAAATGGCACAGCCAGGAGAGCTGATGGTTACCCCAGAGACTATGAAATCAGACCTTACTCCAGCCTCCAACAGTTTAAATCATGAGCAACCTTATGAGACTAGAGTCCTGGGAACTCTTTAGTGACAGTCACCTGAAGATTACCCCAGTCAGTAAAAGGTACCACACTAGATTCAGTGAGGAATACAAAGATAAGGCAGTCTAACCAAGCAGGGAAAACATAGAAAGGTACATAAATTAAGGTCACAGAAGGATAAAAATAATACTATACCTGGTTCAAAGAGATCACAATAGGCTAGACCATGAGGGCAAGCTTTAGGGTGGTAGGATTTGAGCAGCACTTGAATGACAGGCAGTATTTAGTACATGAAAAGACAATTCAGGCAGAGAGTTGAGGCAGGAACTACAAAATAAGTAGGAGTGGTCCACTGTGGCTAGAGCAGAAAGTGTCTGGCCAGTAGTTACGGAAGTAAAGCCAGGATAGGATGGGCACAAATTGTGGAGAGCCTTGAATGTGTCCGGCCAAGGAGTCAAGGCTAGTCTAAGAAGTACATTAGAAAAACTAATTTCAGTATGTGGGATCAACAAGAAGGAAGAGAGAATAAGGTTAGAAAACCTGCCAGAAACAATCAAGAGACATGACAACTAAAGACAATGTTTGACTCATAACTGAAACTGAGATTTAAAAAAAGATCTAAAGGACATTTCTGGGACAATTGGGAAACTTAAATATGAACTATATATTGGAAAACAATATTTATTAATGTTAAATTTCCCAACTATGTTAATTGTGTTGTGCATCATTAGAGAATTACATACAATGTATTATATAAGAATATCCTTGCTCTTAGGAGATATTTATTGACATATTTAGGGATGAAAAGTTATGATGTCTGCAACTAATTCTCAAAATCGTTCAGGAAAAAAAGTATATATGTATATAGACATAAAAGCAAGTATGCCAAATGTTAATAGTTGGTGAATCTAAGAACAAGATATAAAGAAGGACATTACAGAAAAAAGCAACAGATTTAGTGATTGACTGGACCTTGGGAGCGAGGAAGAGGGAGAAAAGGTTTTGAATGTAGATGACAGAGGATGGTAGTAACACTCCTGGAAAAGGGAAGCTGCAGGGAGAAATGGTTTTCAGAAGACATATGCTGAAGCTGGCTCTGGATACGTGGCAAGAAGAAATTTAGATGTGAGAATGACATTAGGGAGAAATGCCTTCAGGCTGTTGGAAATACAGGAATAGGACTCGAGCCATACATCAAGACTAGAATTACCCATTTGGGAATTACCTACATAGATAATAGTGTGAGCATGAAAATTTTTTTTTAAATACCCAAGTTTTGCTTCAAGACCTAGAACATGAAATATGGATGAGATTTATGCTAGAAATATGAGAGGGAGAAGAGAGAGGTGAGAGATGACTGACAACATAACTTCCTGATAGAGTGGGAAAAGAATAGGAAAGAAATCAGCAGGGTTCTATATGACAGAAAGAAAGGTGGAAAAAGATTAAGAGAGTGCTCCACTGAAGGGTTAACAGTATCAGATACCACAGAAACAATAAAAAAGGTGATGACTAGGAAACGGCCACAGGATTTGAAAATTGGGAAATCATCAGTGAATTCTGGGTAGGACTGAAAACCAGGCTATGGGACTCTAGAAAGAGAACAGAGAAAGTAGAATTAAAGACTGGGCGTAAATCACCCACGAATTCAAGTTCACCTTGCATGAGAACAATGGAAATGGAACTACAGTTAGTGGGGCAGTAGAGCCATGGGAAGGGCTGTATTCACTCCGAGACCAGGGCATTCTGTGTAGACACAGAAGAACAAACACTAAGGACACCTTAGAGACCAGTGCAAGAAGTGACATTATGGTGTGTGTCGGGGAGAGACAGAAAGATAACTTGGCTCTAGAAATGGAATGAAATAAACCCTCCTTTAACACAGGAAGAAAAGGAGAGAGAGGAGGTGAAAAAGAGAGAAGCAGTGATAAAAAGAGTATACAAAAACAACTTAGGAGGTTAAACAAGAAATCACAAGATTAGGAATAAACAACTTGGCAGAGCCAAGGAATTCAGTCATAGCTGGTCTTTACACAGGCCTACTACTCCGGCCACATCTGCTTAAGGTGATGGGGCATCTATCCATGACTATCTAATGAAGATCTTAAAGACCTAGGAACTGATGAGAGTTTCTGACCTCAAGGTGAAGAGATTCTTTAGTTAAAAAGAACAGAGTTCAAGGTGATGTTCCTATTGTCTTAGGACAAGGCTTTTGCCTATCTTAGTAAAAAGATCATTTTCTATTATCAACAGAAGAAGCTATACTTGAATTAGCAACTGCTCTCTATGAGGGCAAAGATAAGCTTGAAATCCTATGAAAAGGAAGCCACCTATTGGAAGCCTCAGACATTCTAAAGCTGAATAGGGTAGGATTCTGATTCCTTGCATCACTTGTTTTCAAAAATCTCAGGAGATATGAACAGTTATTTCCTAATACTGCATGAACAACAAAAATACATAGTTTCATAAACTGTAAAAAAAATTTGCAGTGGCAGCAAAATACTTTATGGAACTTATCTGAAGATAAGACATATGAGGAAGAACAACATTTTTATGGCCTTTTATTTCCTTCTAAAAGCCACATCCAATAAAATGGCTGGAACTGGAATTACTTTACTGCTTTAGCAGGCATCCTTACAGATGTTTACAAAACAGTATTAGAATGATGATGCAAAAAAATCATGATTACCTCAGGAACTGGAAAAAAAGCTTTTGATAAATTTTAACATCCTTTTATGATTAAAAATCCTTAGTAGGAAGAGAAAGGAAGAAACATCCTTAACCTGACAATCTTTACCAAAAAAACCTATAGCAAATACTCTACTTCATGGTGACAGGATGAAAGCTTCCCTTTGAAACCAGGAATCAGAGCAGATGCCCACTGTCACTACTTCTATTCAATACAACTTCTACCAACACATTTTTTTTTTTTGAGACGGAGTCTCGCTCTGTCACCCAGGTTGGAGGGCAGTGGTGTGATCTCGGCTGCCGGGTTCAAGTGATTCTCCTGCCTCAGCCTCTCAAGTAGCTGGGACTACAGGCACACCACCACGCCCAGCTAATTTTTGTATTTTTAGTAGAGACAAGGTTTCACCATGTTGTCCAGGCTGTTCTCAAACTCCTGACCTAAGTTGACCCACTCGCCTCAGCCTCCCAAAGTGCTGGGATTATAGGCATTAGCCACTGTGCCCGGTCCTTACAAATACGTTTTTAAATCACAGGCAGACAACCTCACAGAAGAAAGAACAAAGGCCCTGAATAAACATTTCACTAGAGAGGACCTCCTAATAGGCAATAAACAAGAAAAGATGCTCATCTTCATAAGAAATGCAATTGGAATGACAATGAAATGCCAGTACATACCTACTAGCTGGATAAAAATTAAGTTCTATATCCATCAGTCAGGACAGGCTTGGTTAAGTCACAGTAACAATTTTAACATTTCATGGCTTAAAGTAACAAGTTTATTTCTCTCATACTATGCACACATCCACTGTGCGTCCACTGGGGAGCACTGCTCTACCTCATCCTCAGTTAGGGACCCAGGCCCTGGAAGGCTGTGTGTCCATGCTTCCACAAATGGAATATATATATATATATTCCATTATTATATATATTAGCACTGGCTCCTAAGTTTTGCCTAGAAGTGACACATGGCACTTCCACTCACACTTCATTAGCTAAAGCAAGTCACATGGCTACACCTAACTTCAGGAAGGCATATTAGTATAATTTTACCATGTTTCTCGAAGGGGAAAGAACTGTAAATATTTAGTTAACAGTTCTAATGATTACCACACTGAGAATATAAACCTTTGGTGAGCATACAGAGCACTGGGAACACTCACCCCCGATTGGTAGAAGTATAAATGGATACAATCACTCTGGCATTATCTAACAAAGTGGCAGATACTATGGTCTACAGTCCAGAGGCCTTGAGCCTCAGACTTCTTTTGCCAGTGCTGCAGCCCTGCTGGTGCTTTTGTGCTTCCTTCTAGAGGCCTGTTTCTTCCTTCTAGAGGCCTCACCTATGACCCAGGAATTGCACTGTTAAGAGAAATAGATGTTTCAAGAAAATGTACAAAAATGTACAATAGCATCCATTTTCAAGAATATTCATGACAACATATTTCATAAAAGCTCCAAACTCAAAACAATCTAATTCCATCAGTCATAGAATGGATAAATTCATATAATGAAATCCTATGCAGCAATGAAATTAAACTTCCTAAGGCCACATGTAACAAAATGGGTGATTCTTACAAATAACACGGAGCAAAGAAGGTAAAACACAAAACAACAAATGTTGACTTTCAAAGTCACCTTGGAGGCTGGGCGCGGTGGCTCACTCACGCCTGTAATTCCAGCACTTTGGGAGACTGAGGTGGGTGGATCACCTGAGGTCAGGAGTTGGAGACCAGCCTGACAGATATGATGAAACCCTGTCTCTACTAAAAATACAAAAATTAGCCGGGCATGGTGGCAGGCACCTGTAGTCCCAGCTACTCCGGAGGCTGAGACAGGAGAATCACTTGAACACGGGAAGCAGAGGTTGCAGTGAGCCGAGATCACACAACTGCACTCCAGCCTGGGCAACAGAGCGAGACTCCGTCTCAAAAAAAAAAAAAAAAAAAAGTCACCATGGAGGTATACTCCACGTTGCCTAGACAATGAACTAGCTTAGACTAGGGGGTTGGGAGGCTACCCCTTCTCCCAGTGAGAGGGGCTGCACCCAAGCACAACTTCCCACAGCACCTACAGCTGTCTTCTCCAGGTGTGTATTATCCCACAGGTCCCTAAGTTTCCAGGTGTTGGGCAGCTGGCATTCCCAGACAACTTCCTTTTTTTTTTTTTTTGAAATGGAGTTTTGCTCTTGTTGCCCAGGCTGAAGTGCAATGGCATGATCTCGGCTCCCTGCAACCTCTGCCTCCTGGGTTCAAGTGATTCTCCTGTCTCAGCCTCCTGAGTAGCTGGAATTATAGGCATGCACCACCAAGCCCAGCTAATTTTGCATTTTTAGTAGAGACGGGGTTTCTCCATGTTGGTTAGGCTGGTCTCGAACTCCCGACCTCAGGCCTCCCAAAGTGCTGGGATTATAGGCGTTAGCCACCGCACCCGGCCCCTAGACAACATCTATAAGCAGCTGGCACACAAATACAGATTTCGTGGTGTCTAAGCATTCTGCCTATCTCTCCACTAGCAAAGCTACTCTCACAGGTGCCTGATAAAAAAGACAGCATTGGAGGAGGTGGGTGATGGGAGTCATTCCAGCAGAGACACCTCAATACACCTCTCCATGGGCTCTTCTCTTGCTTTGAAAACTCCCCCTTTTCCCCTCTCCCTCTCCCTCTCCCTCTCCCCCTACCCCTCCCCCTCCCCCTCTCCCTCTCCCTCTCCCTCTCCCCACGGTCTCCCTCTCATGCGGAGCCGAAGCTGGACTGTACTACTGCCATCTCGGCTCACTGCAACCTCCCTGCCTGATTCTCCTGCCTCAGCCTGCCGAGTGCCTGCGATTGCAGGCACGCGCCGCCACGCCTGACTGGTTTTGGTGGAGACGGGGTTTCGCTGTGTTGGCCGGGCCGGTCTCCAGCCCCTAACCGCGAGTGATCCGCCAGCCTTGGCCTCCCGAGGTGCCGGGATTGCAGACGGAGTCTCGTTCACTCAGTGCTCAATGGTGCCCAGGCTGGAGTGCAGTGGCGTGATCTCAGCTCACTACAACCTACACCTCCCAGCCGCCTGCCTTGGCCTCCCAAAGTGCCGAGATTGCAGCCTCTGCCCGGCCGCCACCCGGTCTGGGAAGTGAGGAGTGTCTCTGCCTGGCCGCCCATCGTCTGGGATGTGAGGAGCCCCTCTGCCTGGCTGCCCAGTCTGGAAAGTGAGGAGCGTCTGCGCCCGGCCGCCATCCCATCTAGGAAGTGAGGAGCGCCTCTTCCCAGCCGCCATCACATCTAGGAAGTGAGGAGCGTCTCTGCCCGGCCGCCCATCGTCTGAGATGTGGGGAGCGCCTCTGCCCCGCCGCCCCATCTGGGTTGTGAGGAGCGCCTCTGCCCGGCCGAGACCCCGTCTGGGAGGTAAGGAGCGTCTCTGCCCGGCCGCCCTGTCTGAGAAGTGAGGAGACCCTCTGCCTGGCAACCACCCCGTATGAGAAGTGAGGAGCCCCTCCGCCCGGCAGCTGCCCCGTCTGAGAAGTGAGGAGCCTCTCCGCCCGGCAGCCACCCCATCTGGGAAGTGAGGAGCGGCTCCGCCCGGCAGCCACCCCGTCCGGGAGGGAGGTGGGGGGGGTCAGCCCCCCACCCGGCCAGCCGCCCCATCCGGCCAGCCGTGCCATCCGGGAGGGAGGTGGGGGGGTCAGCCCCCCGCCCGGCCAGCCGCCCCGTCCAGGAGGTGAGGGGCGCCTCTGCCCGGCCGCCCCTACTGGGAAGTGAGGAGCCCCTCAGCCTGGCCAGCCACCCCGTCCGGGAGGGAGATGGGGGGGTCAGCCCCCCCACCCGGCCAGCCGCCCCGTCCGGGAGGGAGGTGGGGGGGTCAGCCCCCCGCCTGGCCAGCTGCCCCGTCCGGGAGGGAGGTGGGGGGGTCAGCCCTCCGCCCGGCCAGCCGCCCCGTCTGGGAGGTGAGGGGCGCCTCTGCCCGGCCGCCCCTACTGGGAAGTGAGGAGCCCCTCTGCCCGGCCAGCCGCCCCGTCCGGGAGGGAGGTGGAGGGGTCAGCCCCCCGCCCGGCCAGCCGCCCTGTCCGGGAGGGAGGTGGGGGGGTCAGCCCTCCGCCCGGCCAGCCGCCCCGTCTGGGAGGTGAGGGGCGCCTCTGCCCGGCCACCCCTACTGGGAAGTGAGGAGCCCCTCTGCCCGGCCAGCCGCCCGGTCCGGGAGGGAGGTGGGGGGGTCAGCCCCCCGCCCGGCCAGCCGCCCCGTCCGGGAGGGAGGTGGGGGGGTCAGCCCTCCACCCGGCCAGCCGCCCCGTCTGGGAGGTGAGGGGCGCCTCTGCCCGGCCGCCCCTACTGGGAAGTGAGGAGCCCCTCTGCCCGGCCAGCCGCCCGGTCCGGGAGGGAGGTGGGGGGGTCAGCCCTCCGCCCGGCCAGCCGCCCCGTCTGGGAGGTGAGGGGCGCCTCTGCCCGGCCGCCCCTACTGGGAAGTGAGGAGCCCCTCTGCCCGGCCAGCCGCCCCGTCCGGGAGGGAGGTGGGGGGGTCAGCCCCCTGCCCGGCCAGCTGCCCCGTCCGGGAGGTGAGGGGCGCCTCTGCCCGGCCGCCCCTACTGGGAAGTGAGGAGCCCCTCTGCCCGGCCAGCCGCCCCGTCCGGGAGGGAGGTGGGGGGGTCAGCCCCCTGCCCGGCCAGCCGCCCCGTCCGGGAGGTGAGGGGCGCCTCTGCCTGGCCGCCCCTACTGGGAAGTGAGGAGCCCCTCTGCCCGGCCACCACCCCGTCTGGGAGGTGTGCCCAACAGCTCATTGAGAACGGGTCAGGATGACAATGGCGGCTTTGTGGAACAGAAAGGCGGGAAAGGTGGGGAAAAGATTGAGAAATCGGATGGTTGCCGTGTCTGTGTAGAAAGAAGTAGACATGGGAGACTTTTCATTTTGTTCTGCACTAAGAAAAATTCTTCTGCCTTGGGATCCTGTTGATCTGTGACCTTACCCCCAACCCTGTGCTCTCTGAAACATGTGCTGTGTCCACTCAGGGTTAAATGGATTAAGGGCGGTGCAAGATGTGCTTTGTTAAACAGATGCTTGAAGGCAGCATGCGCGTTAAGAGTCATCACCAATCCCTAATCTCAAGTAATCAGGGACACAAACACTGCGGAAGGCCGCAGGGTCCTCTGCCTAGGAAAACCAGAGACCTTTGTTCACTTGTTTATCTGCTGACCTTCCCTCCACTATTGTCCCATGACCCTGCCAAATCCCCCTCTGTGAGAAACACCCAAGAATTATCAATAAAAAAAAAAAAAAAAAAAGAAAACTCCCCCTTTCCTAGTAAAATCTATCCTTGAATCCCTGAATCTACACCTGAGATGTTAAGAAATTCATTTGCAGCCTGGTGAGCAACAGGTGGCATCTTCAAAGAACCCACTTTGCACACTAGGTGGTAACTTCGAAAGTAACACCTTGTATTTAACAATTTGGTTGTTTTTTTTTTTTTGAGACACAGTCTCGCTCTGTTGCCCAGGCTGGAGAGCAGTGGCGCGACCTCGGCTCACTGCAACCTCCGCCTCCCGGGTTCAAGCGATTCTCCTGAATAGCTGGGATTACAAGCGTGCACCATCACGCCTGGCTAATTTTTGTACTTTTAGTAGAGACAAGGTTTTGCCATGTTGGCCAGGCTGGTCTTAAACTCCTGACCTGAAGTGATCTGCCCACCTCAGCCTCCCAAAGTGCTGGGATTACAGGTGTGAGCCACGACGCCCGGCCTGTATTTAACAATATTATTTTAAAATCATAACAATAAGGCCTACAGAAGGCACCTCTCCATTCCCCCTATATTTTCAAGTCTCTTTAATACTTGAAAGGGACTCTAGTTCCTCTAGTACAAAAGGGAACTAGATTTGAGCTATGGCTCTCCTTGACAGAAGTTGCAAAATAGCAAATCTTTAACATATGAAAAGTACAAAACAACTCTAAGTGCTTGCAAAGAAAGGGTGCTAAGAGATCGCTGAAGTTTCCAAAAAGTATACAACCCTTTCATATGAAAGGGAGGGTGACTCAAAAGCATCAGTAAATACTGGAAGCCCCGTGAGGTTGTCAGGGAGTCCAAAGTTAAGTATCTAAAGAAGGAAAAGGGTTCCATGATGTTCCTGCACTAGGATGCTGATAGAGTCACAGAGCCATGTCAGATGGTGAGAGACAAAACTTTACTCCATTCTAATGTCATCCAAACTCAAGAATGCATTCACTACATTAGCCTGGAAAGTGGGGATCTGCCAACCTCAACAGAGTCAACTAAGACTGAAGACCCTATTGAAAAACAACAAGAAAGTCCTTTAGACAGCAATGCTAGCAACGATGGATCTAAAAACTCCTACTTCATCATGATGAAAAGGTTAATAAAGGATCATGGCTTAGCAATGAGCAGCAGTCTCCTAAAAAATCATCTCTCTCCAAGGGCCAGGGATCATAATGACAACAATCAGTTGAAGAAAAACCAGGACCAAGCAAACCAAAGACGCACCAGTAAACTGCACAGGGGACAGCATGTGGTAAGTTGAATAAAATAAACATGGCAATTCCTATTCCCTTGCTGGCTATTGCCCAAGTTTAATTTGGCATATGAGGACATAGGCCATGTCACAGTTATCCTAGCAAAACAAATCTGAGAACACCTACTTGGGGCCATTTTAATTCTGCCTCTGATAGTCTACCTTCCTATAGAATATCACCTGACCTTGAATTACATTACAGATCTCTTAGTCACTATATTACTCTTTAGGAAAGATATAAATTTTACTATCTAAGTCAAAGCCCCTGCGTCATGATTATTCCAAAGTTTCATTGTCACTGGCCTATGACTAGGAAACTAATTTTATAATCAGCATAAAACTATTTATCTCACCTTTGGCCAAGTAGCCAGTGACATCATTCTCCTATATCAAGAAATCAGTCTGTGAACAGATGAACCACGATATAGGCCTAGTAATAATCTTATGCACGTTAAAACTGTTAGTAGATCTTAGCAAAAACAAAACAAAACCCAAACTATTAAATCTATTAAATAAAACATGTTCTAGGACTATCTTAAGAGTAAAAAAAAACAAGAAACAATATGAAGATGTAGAGGTGGCTACAGATGCCCAAGGCTCTTGGTTTTCTAGTAACCCTAGTTTGGAAGAGAACTGCAAGAGAATATACCTTATCCATATGGAAGATCAAATCCAATTCACACACATTTTCGAAACACTTATCCAGAGTTTCCACAAAAACCTAGAAAACAAGGAGAAATAGATAAAGAAGAGAAATAGGAACACATTCACAGCTTTATCAATGTCACATCTGAAAGTAAAAGGGGCTGTCACAATACTATTTACTTTATGATAAATCTCAAAAATTAAAACACCTACCTTTTGTCTCCAGCATTAGCTGATCACCCTACTTATCTCGATTTAGAGGGAATAATCTAGGACAGGAAAACCTTGTTTTCAGCATAGCAACACAACCAGCAGACACATGTGGCTCTTTCCCCCTTTATAAGATGCTAATTTATGGTAGGGCATGGTGGCTCATACTTACAATCTCAGCACTTTGAGAGCCCAAGGCAGGAGGATCACTTGAGGCCAAGAGCTCACGACCAGCCTTGCTAACAAGACGAAAACCCATCTCTACTAAAAATACAAAAATTATCTGGGTGTGGCGACACGAGCCTGTTATAGTCCCAGCTACTTGGGAGGCTGAGGCACGAGAATAGCTTGAATGAGAATCATTTGAGGTGGAGGTTGCCATAAGCAGAGATCGCACCACTGCACTCCAGCCTGAGTGACAGAGTGAGAGTCTCTCAAAAAAAAAAAAAGAAAAAAGAAAAAAAATTACATAAAAGAATAACAAATTAAAAAAACCAACTACTTACAATACTATGTCCTCAATGAATACATGTACAAAAAATTTTTCATTATTACAGGGTTAACATAGCTGTGTTTTAATTTCAGCCAAAATTAACTTCAAAACATCTTCCCTTTTTAATTTTTTTGGTCAGTTATTTAGCCTACAAAATACCTTCCTATGAATAAATTTAATTGACGTGTTTACAACTTAAAATTTTTTTTTAAAAGCCCTGAGCTTACTTCTCTATAGAACCTTTTAACTTTTAATAAAACATAACAGAAAAGTGTACAAATGACAAGGGCACAGTTTAATGAATTTTCAGAATGAACACACCATGTAACTACAACCTAGGTATCTATCTATAACTGTTTAATTTCTCTCAGACAATGACCTCATTTAAACAATCTCATTGTCAGCAGTGTCATGAATTGTTCGGCACTGCATGAAAATGGGTCTTACTTGAGGCCAGCAAGTGACAGAGACCAGGCACACCGTTCCACTGTAGCACAAGATGGGTGCTCATAGGCAAACCACCCTGCAGCGGCTGCTGGGGAGACAGACCCACTTGCCATGAGGAACCAACGCACACTATTGGAGCTGATCCTGCTCTGTCTCTTCTCTATGTAAGTAAAGCTTTATCCAGTGTTTGCACTTTTTCCTTGCCGACTCTGATACCAAGATGCAATGGGCAAGAGCATTTAGATTCCTTTCTTGAGACTGGTAACCAGTGCACTGTATTTTGCCAGATACCAACCATTTTGGAAAACTATGACATTATGTATGCATGCTCTATGATCTAGGAATTCTACTCCCAGATAACATATCTAACAGATATATACATGTATGCCAAAAACCACATACAATAATTTCATATTAGTGCCATTCATAAATCTTTACATTTTTAACAGTGCCAGAATATTTCACTATAAGGACACATAGTTAAATGGGTCTATTTCTCAATCACTATGCTGGGTACTTGGTAAGCCCTTATAATCCTGCAGTTCAAGTCCTTCAGTTCTGGGAAATTTTATCGAATTATTTTGTTGAGAATTCCCTCCTTTCCACATTCCTAATCAATCTTTTTGGAGCTGCTTATATTCAAGTATTGGACCTCTGTCTGTCTTCTTTTTTTTTTTTTTTTGAGACAGACTCTCGCTCTGTTGTCCACGCTGAAGTGCAGTGCCACGATCTTGGCTCACTGCAGCCTCTGCCTCCTGGGTTCAAGCAATTCTCCTGCCTCAGCCTCCTGAGTAGCTGGGATTACAGGCATGCACCACCACGCCTGGCTAATTTTTGTATTTTTAGTAGAGACGAGGTTTCACCATGTTGGCCAGGCTGATATCCAATTCCTGACCTTAAGTGATCCCCCTGTCTTGGCCTACCAAAGTGCTGGGGTTACAGACGTGAGCCACTGTGCCCGGCCTCTGTCTTATTTTCTCATCTTTTCTCTCCCATTTTCCATCTCTGCCCATTCTGAGACAATTGATTAACTTGATTTTCTAATACTTCAGTTGAAGTGGGTTTTTGTTTGTTTCCATTTCCTCTCATTTTTTATTTCTAAGAGACCATTTTGTTCATTTTGTGTGAGCAACAAGGCTGTGAGTGTTTTTGTTTAGCACCCATTTAGCAATAAGACATAAATGGGTCTTATTTTATTTCTAATTAATAAATGGGTCTTATTATTATTTAAAATAAATGTCTTATTTCTCTGTGGCTTTTTTTTTTTTTTTTTTTTTTGAGACAAGGTCTCACTCTGTCACCCAGGCTGGAGTGCTGTGGTGTGATCTCAGAACACTGCAGCCTCAGCCTCCCGGGTGCAGGTGATTCTCCTGCCTCAGCCTCCTGAGCAGCTGGGACTACAGGTATGTGCCACCATGCCTGGCTAAAATACTTCGTATTTTTAGTAGAGATAGGGTTTCACCATGTTGGCCAGGCTTTCTCTGTAGCTTAAGAATAGGGTTTTGGGTTTTTTTTTTTTTTAAACTGTTTTCCTTTCTTTATATGGTGTCCATTTTTAAGTTGCTTTTTATTGTTTGTTCATTTTATCTCCTTCTTCTATGTTAGAGGTTTTCCGCAGATGTCTGATAATCCTTTGTTTTTCATTTGTTACAAGAATAAAAGGCTGATTGAAAGCTCTACAATCATGGATATTTCTTGCCCACCTCCATGGTTATTTGCTTCCCTAGCGAAATCTGTCTCACGTGTCCATGTGAAGAGACCACCAAACAGGCTTTGTGTGAGAAACAAGGCTGTTTATTTCACCTGGGTGCAGTCTTTCTAGGTATCAAAATTCATTGTAAAGCTTTGTTAACTAAAATAGTATAATACTAAGGCTGGGTGAGGTGGCTCATGCCTATAATCCCAACACTTTGGGCAGCCAAGACAGGAAGATCCCTCGAGCCCAGGAGTTTGAGACCAGCCTGGGCAACATAGCAAAACATCGTCTCCACAAAAAAATAAAAATAAAAAAATTAGCCAGGCATAGTGGCACACACCTGTAGTCCCAGCTACTTGGAAGGCTGAGGTGGGAGGATTGCTTGAGCCCAGGAATTCAAGGTTGCAGTGAATTATCATTGCACCACTGCATTCCAGCCTGAGTGACATACCAAGACCTTGTCTCTAAATAAATTTTAAAAATAAAATAAAAGTATAATTCTAAGATGGGAATATAGATCAGTGGGGCAGAATATAAATTACTGAAACATACATGTTTATAAAATGCAATTTTAAAAATAAGAGTCGTATTTTAAGTTGGTGGGGAAAAGACAAGCTAACTGATAATGTTGGAACAGTTATCCTTTGGGGGAAAAATAAAGTTACATATTTCAATGCAGACATAAAAATATCTAACAGATATTAATGAGCTAAATGTAAAAAAATAAATTAAAAAAGCAACGGCAGATCCCCTGGGTGCCATCCAGGCCCCCGGAAGGAGCTATTCAGTCTGTGGCAAAGCTTTGAGGTGGCTGGTACTGCTAAAAGCGGCACGTGGAGGTGCCCCCTAGCGGCCTGAGCTCTGTTCTGCGGCAGCCAGAGCACATGCGAGGAGAGCCAGACCACAGTTTGCAGCAGCACCATCCCAAAAGGCTGTTTTCATTAAAGATGTTTCATGAAACTAAGACTGGGTTCTCAAGATAGGGTAGTTATCCAGGACAAGATGGACTAGCCCCAGAAAAAGACATCCCCAGATAGTGGGTGGAAAAAGAACTGTCAGATGCATCTGTTTTTCTTACTCAAAATATTATTCAAGATCACAATCAAGGTCAAGAGAAAGAAAACAAGAAAGAAAACGAAGGACGAAAACACAAAGCGCATGCTGATGGGCAAAGAGGCTGAACTGAAGACATTGCAGACTCAGGTAGGAAAATAATAAGCCTATTTCATGATGAGGCAAGAAGACAGGAATCCTACAACAAATCCTCTAAGAAATACACTTCTGAGGAGCATAATGACAAAGAACATTATTCTGATAAAGGAAGAGAGGGACTAAATTCATCTGAAAATGGGCTGGGCGCAGTGACTCACGTCTGTAGTCTCAGTACTTCGGAAGGCCAAGGTGGGCAAATTGCTTGGGCTCACAAGTTTGAGACCAGCTTGAGCAACATGGCAAAGCCCTGTCTCTATAAAAAACACAAAAGTTAGCCAGGCGTGGTGGTGTGTGCCTGTGATTCCAGCTACTCGGGAGGCTGTGGTGAGAAGCTTGAGCCGGGGAGACAGAGGTTACAGTGAGCTGTGATTGTGCCACTGCACTCCAGCCTGGGCAACAGAGTGACATGCTGTCTCAATAAATAAATACATTCATCTGAAAATGATGAGGACAGACACAAACACAAAGAAAGCCATCAAGAAGCAGAAGTCACTCAAGATACAGGTCTCGTGAAAGGCATCATCGTAGTAGAGGGAAAAGAAGTAGTCTCAATCCAGAAGCAGAGAGAAGAACGATCATGATCTAGAAGCAGGAAAAGAAAACCATGGGCTGGACATGGTGCTTCACACCTGTAATCCCAGCACTTTGGGAGGCCAAGTCAGGCAGATCACCTGAGATTCAGGAGTTTGAGACCAACCTGGCCAACATGGCAAAACCCTGTCTCTACTAAAAATGCAAAAATTAGCCAGGCGTGGTGATGCATGTCTGAGGTCCCAGCTACTTGGGAGGCTGAGGCAGGAGAATCACTTGAACCCAGGAGGTGGAGGTTTCAGTGAGCTGAGGTCACACCACTGCACTCCAGCCTGGCCAACAGAGTGAGACGCCGTCTCCAAAAAGGAAAGAAAAAAAAAAGAAAGAAAGAAAACCATGGATCAGATCTTGCTCCTGTTCAAGATAAAAACTACATCTGTGTTGCGTGTGAAAAATAAGTAAATAAATAAATATGACATGCATAGGAAAGAAGCAGAAGTAGTACAGGAAGCAGAAGACAAGAGAGAAAGAAGAGCATTGAGAAACTAAGATTTAGCAGAAGTTTAAGCCAGATTTCCAGTTCATCTCTCTTCAGAGGCAGAGGCACAGCAAAGGATGCATAAGAAGCTTTAGCTGGGAGGATGGACTAGGCAAAGAAATTACAAGAACAGCAAGAAAAAGAAATAGTTGGGATGGGTGTTGGGAAAAAATTTTTTAAAAGAAAAAGAAATCATTGAAAAACAAAAACAAGAAATAGCTCCAGTTACTAGAGATTTTGTTCTCAATGTTGCTGCCCTGTTGGCATCAGGAATGCCAGTAACTCAGATAGCTATGGCAGCTCAAATGGGAGCCCTGCAAGCAACAGCTTTGGCAGAGACAGAACAGCTGTACCTAGGGATTATGACACAGCAGCTGGAAATCCAGTGAAATTTGCTGAACAAGAGGAAAAAAGTCAAGGCAAGAAAAACTGGGCAAACTCCCCGTCTGCTGAACTATGACTTTGGGAAACAAGGACCAAAATGTCATATATATGGAAATTAGTGGGTATTAAGAGTGAAGATGAAGCTAGATGTAGCTCACTTGATGAAGAAAGTTAGAAGACTTTGAAGCAATAGGAAGTACTGTATTTAGAAATTTAGATGCTCAGTATGAAAAGGCAAGATCACAGACCCACACATAAAGAGGAACGGGATTGGGTTTCACATCTTCAACGTGAGAAATGGATGCAGTTTGAAAAAGATCATACTTTTAAGGTTTGGGAACTTATAGCCTTCTTGTTCTGATGTCAGGTCCTTGTTCCCAAAGAGCTAGTGTTCCAGTTTGTAGGGTGTTGCACTGGCTTTTCTTCCTCTCTCTTTTTTTAAGCTGTGGTAAAATACACGTAACATAAAATTTACCATCATAGCCATTTTTTAAGTGTACAATTCAGTAGCATTCGATAACGTTCATAATGTGCAACCATCACCACCATCCATGTTCATATCTCTATTTTATAAACCTGAAACATGGCCGGGCGCGGTGGCTCATGCCTGTAATCCCAGCACTTTGGGAGGGCGAGGCAGGTGGATCACTTGAGGCCAGGAGTTTAAGACCAGCCTGAGCAACATGGTGAAAACCCCCAGCTACTCAGGTGGCTGAGGCACAAGAATTGCTTGAACCTGAGAGGTGGAGGTCACGGTGAACCAAGATCATGCCACTGTACTCCAGTCTGGGCAACAGAGTGAGACTCTGTCTCAAAATAAAAAAAATTAAAAAAAAGAAAAACACCAAAAAACTGAAATGCTATTCCCATTTGCATTGGCTTTAATTTATTGAAAAATAAGATTTTTTTCATAAATATCAGATCAGTGATATAGGTGTTGTAATCATGTTAGACTCGCTTTCACTAAACCTGACAGGACTATAGAAGGACAATATTTTTTGGTTCGTGAATTCTACTTTTTGAACATAAAGTGCTGTAGGTAGAATGAAATCTCATACATGCATTTTTTTGTGTCTGTTATCTTGTGTACTTTTGTACTTAACCTTGTACAGTTATTTTCATCTTTTAAAACATAAAATAAATGTTATGCAGATGTTCGTTAGAAGATCTTGCCACTGGTACATAATCCAGCACAAATAAGCTGGGTGGTGATGATAATAAAAATGGTTTTCTCCAAAGGAAAAAAAAAACAACAGCAAAACTGTAGGAGAATATTTTCATACCTTGGGAGCTATGAAGAAAACAACTTCCAGATGTACCTACATAAAGCAAAAAGACCAATGGAGTAGGAGAAAATATTTGCAATAAATATAACAAAAAAAGAATATGCATACAATTAGGAAAAAATCTAACTTACAAACAAACAAAACAAATGAGCCTTTTGAAAAGTGGACAAATATCGTAGACATTTCCAAATACCAAAGATACGCAGCCTCACCACTATTCAGGGAAACTCTAGTGAAAACAATGAATTTGCATTTTTTCACCCATCAGATTGGCAAACATTTGAAAATATTCTTATTTTTATCTTATTTTTGAGACAAGGTCTTGGTCTGTCATGCAGGCTGGAGTGCAGTGGTATAATCATAGCTCACTGCAGCCCTGATCTCCTGGGCTCAAGCAATCCTTCAACCTCAGCCTCCCAAGTAGCTGAGAATCACAGATGCATGCTACCACCCGAGGCTAATTTTTGTTGTTGTTGCTGTTTCTTTGTTTGTTTTGATACAGGGTCTCTCGCTCTGTCACCCAGGCTGGAGTGCAGTGGCATGATCTCGGCTCGCTGCAACCTCCGCCTCCCAGGTTCAAGTGATTCTCCCGCCTCAGCCTCCTGAGCAGCTGGGATTACAGACGTCCCGCACAATGGCCCAGCTAATTTTTGTACTTTTAGTAGAGACGAGGTTTCACCATGTTAGCCAGGCTGCTCCAACTCCTGACCTCAAGTGATCTGCCTGCCTCAGCCTCCCAAAGCGTTGGGATTACGGGCGTGGGCCGCCGCACCCAGCCAGGCTAATTTTTTCGTAGAGACAAAGTCTCACTATGCTGCCCAGGAAGGTCTCAAACTCCAGGGCTTAAGCGATCCTCCTGCTTTGGCCTCCCAAAGTATTGGTATTACAGGCGTGAGCCATTGCACCCAGTGTGAAAATATTCTTAATATTCAAAAGTCAGTGAGGTTATGGGTAAACAGATACATTCTTATTACATTCCATTAGTACAAGTATCAAAGGCAAAGCCTTTGTTTGGAGGCAATTCAGCAGTATCTATCCATTTAAAAAACACATGCCCTTATTAAAGCAGCAATTCCAATTGAGAAATCTGTACTATGGGAATTAACATATGTGCATATAGATGCACGTGGAAGGATGTCATTGCAGCATCCTTTACAATAGCAAGAAATTGGGAAAAACATAGATGCCCACAAGTAGCATGATGAATCAAAGATGATGATACATCCATATTATGGAAAATCACACACCGTCAAAAAAAACTGCATGTGGAAAAAGCTCCAGAACTTAAATGATGAAAAAGAAAGTTTTAGAACTATATATAGAGTATGATTACTTTTAATTTTTATTAATTTTTATTTTTTGGGGTCTCACTTTGTCACCCAGCCTGGAGTGCAGTGGCACAATCTCGGCTCTTTGCAACCTCCACCTCCTGGGTTCAAGTGATTTTCCTGCCTCAGCCTCCTCAGTAGCTGGGACTACAGGCACCTGTCACCACGCCTGGCTAATTTTTTTGCATTTTTAGTGGAGATACAGTTTCACCATGTTGGCCAGGCTGGTCTTGAACTCCTAACCTCAAAGTTAGGTTGCAGTGAGCTGAGATCACGCCACCGCACTCTGGGCGACAAGAGTGAGACTCCAAATTATATAACAAACTTACATAGTACTGGAGGCATTATAAATTAACATACTCTTCATTTTTTTTTTTTTTTTGAGATGGAGTCTCACTCTTGTTGCCCAGTGTGCAGTGGCATGATCTCAGATTTTAGAGTTATTAGAATGTGATAAAATGTGCATCTTAGGATATATAAAATATGATATTATAAGCCAGGATCTAGACTTCACTGGAGTCTGGGTGACGAAGTGAGACTCTGTCTCCAAAAAATAAAAAATAAATAAAAGAAACTTTAATGTAAGATTCAAAAGAAGAAATGAATAAACAAGAGGGAAATGCTAACTGTTAATTCACTTCTAATTATAATTATAATCCAACAGGGACTTTTTGGGACCTTTACAAATTATTCAAGAATACATATGGATGAACAAATAGTTATAAATATCAGAGAACGTACTGAAAAACAACTGCCACAAAGGGGAAATAACTAGTCTTACTAGGTATGTGAAACTATATTGAAACAATAAATAGCCAGGTGCAGTGGCTCACGCCTGTAATCCCAACACTTTGGGAGGCCGAGGTCAGGAGTTTGAGACCAGCCTGGTCAACATGGTGAAACCCCCGACTCTACTAAAAATACAAAAATTAGCCAGGTGCGGTGGTGGGCGCCTATAGTCCCACCTATTCAGGAGGCTGAAGCAGGAGAATCGCTTGAACCCAGGAGGCGGAGGTTGCAGTGAGCCGAGATTGCGCCACCGCACTCCAGCCTGGGCAACAGAGCAAGACTCCGTCTCAAAAAAAAAAAAAGAAACAATAAATAAAACAACATGAAAGTAATGCAGAAAGAAAAATGTAACTCAGTTAACTCAGTAGAATAAAATGAAGAAATGAAGGGTAAAAACTAAATCCAATTATGTATTAAATGTTTATTCAACCATTGTTAAAGGTGTGATGACTACATGCTAGGAACATACCATTGTTGACACCACAGTCAACAAGTCATGTTCTTATCCAGTTTATATTCTGGGTGTGGGAAGAACAAGGAGGCAAATGAAACAAGATATTTTCTATTGTCCTAAGTGCCCTGAAGGAAGTAAACAGGATGATGTGACAGGGGTTACTTCAGATAGAGTGCTAAGAAAGTTTGTCCAAGGATTAAAATTCGAGCTGAGACATAAATGGTAAAAGTCAGTCATTGAAAGAGCTGAAGTGAAGGAACCTAGATGAGAGTATTCCAGGGGACAGAACAAGTATAAAGGCCCAGACACAAAAATGTACTTGTGTTTGAAGAACAGCAAGAAGCCTAGAGCATAGTGAAGATGAGCGTGTATACGGTGAGGGGAGAGAGAGGCAAAGGAGCCGGACCATGTTGGGCCTTACAGGCTGTAATAGGGGGCTTGGGTTTCACTCTGAACTTAATACAGTATACAACATTAGAGTTTCTTCAACAAGGGGAGGTAAAAATGGATTATTTACACTTAATATAATAGGTTAGACAATAATTAGTTAAATAAGTTTTAAAATAAACTCAAAATACGCAGATTTACTTATTTGTTGATGATAAGGCAAACCATTATTTTATCTAACAAAGAAAAAAAATGCTGCCAATTATAATTGTTAAGATGTCACCCACTACAACACACATCCAGATTTTAGAGTTATTGAAGTGTGATAAAATGCGCACCTTAGAATATACAAAATATGACATTATAAGCCAGGATCTAGATTTCACTGGACAAGTGGTTCAATTATATTATAGAAGGCTGACATGGAAAACAAAATTATAAACCCACACGTGGAAAAAGGAAGCATGATTAATAAAAATTCAAATGTGTGAGGTACCTCTACCTGGGTAGAAATTTAAAATGACACATTTCAGTACTGGAGTTACAAGGAAACAAACTTATATAGTACTAGAGGCATTATAAATTAACATACTCTTCATTTTTTTTTTTTTTGAGATGGAGTCTCACTGTTGTCGCCCAGGCTGGAGCGCAATGGCACGATCTCAGCTTACTGCAACCTCCACCTCCCGGGTTCAAGCAATTCTCCTGCCTCAACCCCCCAAGTAGCTGGGATTACAGGTGCATACCACCACGCCCGGCTAACTTTTTGGATTTTTAGTAGAGACAGGGTTTCACCATGTTAGCCAGGCTGGTCTTGAACTCCTGACCTCAGGTGATCCGCCCGCCTCGGCCTCCCAAAGTGCTGGGGTTACAGGTGTGAGCCACCGTGCCTGGCTAACATACTCTTTCTAAATATCTATCTAGCAACATGCATTATGATTAGAAATATTAATTCCCTTTGATCCAGGCATTCTGTTTTTAGCAGAATAGGCACAACCGTTTGCATAAAGACTTAGAGTAGTTTTATTCATATTAATTAAAAAAAGAAACAAAGTATCCAGTGTCTGTTATCCTAGGTGCTCTGCTACCTGAATCAGCTGAGAACACTCATTTTACCCCCCTGTTCTGCTTTGACCTACTCTTTTTTTTTTTTTTGAGACGGAGTTTCGCTCTTGTTGCCCGGGCCAGAGTACAATTTCAGCCCACCACAACCCCCGCCTCCTGGGTTCAAGAGGTTCTCCTACCTCAGCCTCCTGAGTAGCTACGATTACAGGCATGTGCCACCACACTCGGCTAATTTTTTGTATTTTTAGTAGAGACGGGGTTTCTCCATGTTGGCTAGGCTGGTCTCAAAGTCTCCTGACCTCAAGTGATCTGCCCGCCTCGGCCTCCCAAAGGACTGGGATTACCGGCGTGACCCACTGTGCTTGGCCAAAAGCTACTAATTTCCATATGTTAAACTTGTATTTAGTCACCTTACAGAACTCTATTATTAGTTCCAATTGTTTCCAACTGATTTGGATTTTCTAGATAATCAATTCATCTGTAACTATTATACATTCTGAAAACTAGTAAAGCAAATCTCCCATCACTGTCCTTTTTCCCTAGAAATATACTTCTGCATTTCTTGGCCACTCCTTTTCCCTGATAAATTTTGCCTTTACTGAGTTCTATAAACTCTCCTGACGGAATTATACTTGGTTTTCCATTTGATGTATTGCTCACCACCTTTGGGACTACTGTCATCTTTGCTTGACTCTTCCCAACAACGGGAGAGTTTGTAGCTCCATTTGTTCCAACTATTCCTTTGTTTTTTCTTTAAGATTTTATAATTTTATTGGAATCAATGTCAAGTATTCCATACCAAGTTAATTCCCAAGCACTAACTATCCTTTATTATTACTGTAAATGAGACTTCTTTAATTATGAATTTTCTAGCTGTTTTCTCAGAAATAGGAAATTTAATTTTGTTGGCTTTATCTCATATTCTGTCATTTTGCTCATATCATTTCCTTACTTATAATTCTTTAAAAATATTTTCTATGTCCATAATCCGGCCACCTTACATTGATAACTTACCTCTCTTTCTTTCTTTACTATGTCACTTCTTCATTTGTTTTTGTATCACTCACTACAAATGTTTGTTAAAATTAGAGTAAACAATAAAAGATACTCCTTTTTTTTTTTTGAGACAGAATCTCGCTCTGTCACTCAAGCTGGAGTGTAGTGGCATGAATATGGCTCACTGAAACCTCAACCCCTTGGGCTCAAGCAGTCCTCCTGCTTTAGCCACATGAGTAGCTGGGACCACAGGGGCACACCACCTGATTTTTTATAGAGACTAGGTCTCACTATGTTGCCCAGGCTGGTCTTGAACTCCTGAGCTCAAGTGATCCTCCTGCCTCAGGCTCCCAAAGGGTTGGGACTATAGGTATGAGCCACTGCACCTGGACGAAACACCCAACAAGAGCATTCATAAATGCCTACAGATTTCACCCTTGAGATAACATTGGCTCTGGTTCTTGGCTCTTGGTTTTGAAACTAAAATTGATTGCTTCAAGGAAAGTAAACTAGGTGATAAGGGGAAAGGGGAAGAAGGATATTTTTCACTATACAGGTTGAACACTTAAAATCCAAAAACCTGAAATCCAAAACACTGCAAAATCCAAAATTTTTGAGTGCCAACATGATGCTCAAAGGAAATGCTTATTGGTCATTTCAGGTTTTGGACTTTCAGATTTAGGATAAGTATAATGCAAATATCCCCAAATCTGAAAAAGTCCAAAATCCAAAACACTTCTGGTCCCAAACATTTCAAAGGGATATTCAACCTGTATACTCATAGTGTGCCTCTGAATTCTGAACCACATAACTATATTCATTTCTTCAGAAAGTAAACAGTTACATTAATAAATGTGTACTTTTAATCAAAAATGCTTCTTATTCCAGTTTGAGTGTATTTAATATAATTTGTATAATCGCTCCTCTCAGCAACTACTAATTTTTATTATATTAGTTTTTCTTACTGCTATAATAGACTATTAATTTTTCTTTGTTATACTGACTTGCATTCTTGGGATAAATACTATTTGGACACAATGTATAATTCTTCTATTTAATAGTATGCAGTTTTCCTGCTAAAGAAATAATTTTAGGGCTAGAAAAGAATATCTAGTATCTTTGTAGATTAAAAAAAAACCACTCAACACACAGAAGAGACAAAATGCAAAACAAACAAAAACCCTTAAGGCCAATAAAGCCTAGATGATTTGTTTAAGGTCACACTGCTTGTTAATGGCAGAGTCAAAAAGAAAAAAAAGGCAGGTCTCACAATCCCTTGGTTCAACTGATTGTCGGCTAAGATTTTACTTAGTAAGTAATTTTGTACCAGTACTAATACGCAATATTTGACGAACATCTTCCCCTTTTTTTTTTTTTTTGAGATAGAGTCTCACTCTATCACCCAGGCTGGAGTGCAGTGGCGCAATCTCGGCTCACTGCAACCTCCGCCTCCCAGCTCAAGCGATTCTTCTGCCTCAGCCTCCCGTGTAGCTGGGACTACAGGCGCATGCCACCACACCCAGCTAATTTTTTTTGTATTTTTAGTAGAGACAAGGTTTCACCATATTGGCCTGGCTGGTCTCGAACTCCTGACCTCGTGATCCTCCTGCCTCGGCCCCCAAAGTGCTGGGATCACAGGCGTGAGCCGCTGTGCCTGGCCCATCTTCCTTTTTAGAGTCAGGTTTTTGGATGATAACCAATTTATTCCATAAAATGCGCTTAGGTAGTAGGATTCCTTGTTCTAAGTTTTAAAAAATAACTTAATGTAACATCCAGGTTTTAATGTACTTCAACTTTAAAAAATTCTACTGTGACCCCATTAGGGAGTCAGTTCTTTTTTTAACATCTATTATTTCATCCTAATATTATTTCAGTGCCTTTATGTTGACCTCATTTGGGCAGTTTTTTGTTCTTGTTTTTTTTTTTGAGATAGAGTCTCGCTCTATTGCCCAGGCTGGAGTGTAATGGTGTGATCTCAGCTCACTGCAACCTCTGCCTCCCAGGTTCAGGTGATTCTCATGCCTTGGCTACCCAAACAGCCAAGCAGCTGGGATTACAGGCATGTGCCACCATGCCCAGCTAATTTTTCTATTTTTAGTAGAGACGAAGTTTCACCATGTTGGTCAGGCTGGTCTCAAACTCCTGGTCTCAAGTGATCCACCCTCCTTGGCCTCCCAAAGTGCTAGGATTACAGGCATGTGCCACTGCCCCAGGCCAGAGCAGTTATTTTTGTAGTCGGCTATTTCAAATATATTGGTAGTATAACTATGTATATATCATCCCTTTAAAACAATGTTTTCTATTTCTGACTTCTATCTTCTTTATATCAATTAGGCCAACTATTTATTAATTTTTATTGTCTTTTCAAAGATCAGATGGGTCCAGTGGTTCACACCTGTAATCCCAGCAATTTGGGAGGCCAAAGTGGGAAGACTGCCTGAGCTGAGATGTTCGAGACCAGCCTGGACAACATGGTGAGACTTCATCTCTAAAAAATTCAAAAAATTAGCCAGATGTGGTGACGCATGCCTGTAGGCCCCATTACTCAGGAGACTGAGGTAGGAGGATGGGTTGAGCCTGGGAGATGGAGGCTGCAGTGAGCTGTGATCACACTACTGCACTACAGTTTGAGAGCAAGACCTTGTCTCAAAAAAAAAAAAAAAAAAAAAATCAAACTTTTTAGTTCCTATTATTTTTACATTTTACTTATCTGATCTTACCAAATCCAATGTACAATGTACACTAAATATTTAATAAGTGTCTATTAAATTATAAAGTTAGAGGCCGGGCGCAGTGGTTCACACCTGTAATCCCAGCACTTTGGGAGGCCGAGGCGGGCGGATCACAAGGTCAGGATATCGAGACCATCTTGGCCAACATGGTGAAACCCTGTCGCTACTAAAACTACAAAAATTAGCTGGGCATGTGCCTGTAATCCCAGCTACTCGAGAGGCTGAGTAAGGCAGGAGAATCGCTTGAACCAGGGAGTCGGAGGTTGTGGTGAGCTGAGATCGTGCCACTGCACTCTAGACTGGCAACAGAGCAAGACTCCATCTCAAAAAAAATAAATAAATAAAAAAGTAAAAAAAGTTATAAAGTTAGTCTTTTTGTATTGTTAATACAAATCTCCAAGGTCCATTTTCTCTAATAACTGTGGCCCAATTTTTTTTTCTCTTTTAAAAAATTTTCTTTATTTTTTATAATATGGAATGCTTCACCAATTTGCATGTCATCCTTGCATAGTGGCAATGCTAATCTTTTCTGCACTGGTACACTTTTAGAATATATGCTGCTGAGGCAAGCACTCCATCCCAATTTTTAAAATACATTATCACTATATTTCCTTAATTTTCAAATAAACTCGTATTATGTACACATTTCTATAGCCTGCTACATACAGTTAACAGTACTATAAAGCACATTCTCACATTTGAATTCTACAACCTAATATCACTTTTCAGATGGTAGATTCATGACCCAAACCCAGATTTTCTGATGCTAGATCTTGAGCTTTTTTTCTTTTTTTGAGACAGGGTCTCACTCTGTTGCCCAGGCTGGAGTGGAGTGGCACAATCTTGGCTCACTGCAACCTCCGCCTCCTGGGTTCATGCGATTCTCCCACCTCAACCTCCCAAGTAGCTGGGAGTACAGGCATATGCCACCAGGCCCAGCTAATTTTTTGTATTTTTAGTAGAGACATGGTTTTACCATGCTGACCACGTTGGTCTCAAATTCCTGGCCTCAAGTGATCCACCCACCTTGGCCTCCCAAAGTGCTGGGATTACAGGTGTGAGCCACTGCACCCCGCCTTGAGCTCTTTCTATTATGCTGATTATCAATGTCCAATCTGACTCAGGTTTTAAGAAAGTATTTAAAAATTATCTCCGAGATGCATCTGTTTTAGATGGGTTCATCTTTATTTATATTTTTATGTATAAGTGAATACGACGTATGAAATTTTTAATTATCCTACAAAACTATATATTCAAAATTTCAATTTATTTGTTCCAAGATATATTTAGCTTTTAAACTTTTATCTTAAGAAAACAAATTTTGTTCTAAGCATTTATTTATGTATTTATTTTTATTATTATTTTTTTTTTGAGACGGAGTCTCGCCCTGTCACCCAGGCTGGAGTGCAGTGGTGCGATCTCGGCTCACTGCAACCTCTGCCTCCCGGGTTCAAGCAAGTCTCCTGCCCCAGCCTCCCGAGTAGCTGGGATTACTGGCACGTGCCACTACGCCCGGCTAATTCTTGTATTTTTAGTAGAGACCGGGTTTCACCACATTGGTCAGGCTGGTCTTGAACTCTTGATCCATCTGCCTCGGCCTCCCAAAATGCTGAGATTACAGGCATGAGCCACCGCACCCGGCCTATTTATTTTTAATTTATTATTTTTTTGAGACGGAGTCTCACTCTGTTGCCCAGGCTGGAGTGCAGTGGCATGATCTCGGCTCACTGCAACCTCCACATCCCAGGTTCAAATAATTCTCCTGCTTCAGCCACCTGAGTAGCTGGGACTGCAGGTGCACACCACCATGCCTGGATAATTTTTGTATTTTTAGTAGAGATGGGTTTTCACCACATTGGCCAGGTTGGTCTCAAAATCCTGACCTCAAGTGATCCGCCCGCCTTGGCCTCCCAAAGTGCTGGGATTATAGGCATGAGCCTATAAGCCCATAGGTGGAAAAGAAAATTCTATAGCTGTAAAATGTACATGTCTGGCCTGTTGTAAGCATTTAAAGTTTACATTTTATAGCTATAGAATTTTCTTTTCCACAATTGTTGTTACTTAAGTTTTCAATGTAGCATCTATTTGAGTGCTTTCTACCTATGGGCTTATTCAAGTACTTAAAAGAAGCTCATCTAGAATCTCACATATAAAACGATGAAATAATGCTAAATAAATAGTTCCCAAGCTAGGGTCCCTACACATCTCAGTTTTCATGAAGGTAATAAAGACAATCTGTAAGCAGACTGTGGGCCACCACACCCGGCCAAAGTATAAATTTGTAAATGAAAACCAAGGGCAGTGCAAGGGCTAGATAGAAACCAATAAATCTAAAAGTGCTGAGGGTTTCTCAGGAGCTCTCCCAGAGCACCATCTGGTGGACATCTGGCAACTTTTACTAGTATCAATAAGGAGATGGACACAAGGTTCTACAGGCTGGTTACTCAAAAATCCCGTGGAAACTCTCTAAAGCTGCTGCCATCATTAGCTGACTACACATACCTGGATGAGGTCCAAGATTCCAAGTTCACTCTCTGAGGAATCCACACAAAATACAAAGTAGAGGGTAGCATAGTGCCGGTAGATCAGTTTGTAGTCAGAGCCACCAATCAAACTGCAGAAGATGGGAAACATTTAAATGCCCACAGCTTAATTAAACACATCAAAAAGAAACCTTGTGCCAAAGAATGAGAAAGGACCCACTGGAAAGGAGAAGGCCAAACGCTAGAAGCAGGCCATTCTTACTAGGTGAATGGCAACCAAGTTTGGCAGAGGTACCTAAAGCCACCTTACCTCACCTCTTCTCCTGCCTATCCTCCCGGGGATCAATCATCTAAATGAGCAATATCAGAAGCACAATAATTGAACTGCGCCCCAAAGAGAATTGTGTCTCTCCCTGAGCAGATCATGGTGAGACCAGCTAAAGTTGCATCAAGTACCCACCTGACACTTGAGTACTGTCAGAAGATGCAATAATGAAGGCCACTCACAAGTGGATATATGGGGAGAAAAATGAAGCTGACAGTTTACCTTCCACCCTCCAAGAAGTTACAGATGTTGTCATCCCGCTTGAGGACTAGATGGAAAGTCTCTCGAACAATCTGCTGTTGAATTTCTTCTGGCTATGAAACAAAAAGATAAGTGAATCAGTGGGCAAGCCTGAAAAACTACATCCCATCCATGGGGATGGACAAGGGAAGAAGTGTTTCTAAGCTGGGAACATCTAAACATTTAGTACTTGTTTCTAGAAATGATAAAAATGATGAGAAAAAATAGGAGTGAATCTATGAAAGATGGGTGACAATGCTCTGATACAGGAATTAAGATAGGGTATATTTACCTAAATATCTAAGTCACTAACCATTACTGTCCTATAGGTAAGCTGATATTTAAACAAGAAAAGGAACATTGATAAACTCTCATACAAAGTCAGAGAATAACTGGAAGGCCTGATCCTGAAATATTTTGTCTTCCCCTGGAAAACATCTATGACAAAGATATAATAAATCTCAACAGGTCTAACATTTTAAGAAGGTCAAGATGTGGGCCAGGCACAGTGGCTCACGCCTGAAATTCCAGCACTTTAGGAGGCAGATCACAAGGTCAGGAGTTCGAGACCAGCCTGACCAATATGGTGAAACCCCATCTCTACTAAAAATACAAAAAAAAACAAAACAAAATAAAACAAAAAAACAATTAGCTGGGCGTGGTGGCGCATGCCTGTAATCCCAGCTACTCGGGAGGCTGAGGCAGGAGAACTGCTTGAACCCAGGAAGCGGAGGTTACAGTGAGCCGAGATCACGCCACTGCACTCCAGCATGGGCGACAGAGTGAGACTCCATCTCAAAAAAAAAAAAAAAAAAAAAAAAAGGTCAAGAAGTAATCATGTAAATGTTTTAAAAAGTTATATTGGCAAATACAGCTGCCATCTTTTGTACTGGTAATATAGATACTACATATAAGATGCTGTGTTACTCACCAACAAAGTATTATTGAGAAAAATAGATTACAGATTAAAATTTTGAACAGTTACAAATAAAATGTATTATTATTATTTTTAGACAGAGTCTTGTTCTGTTGCCCAGGCAGTGGTGTGATCACAGCTCATTGCAACCTCCACCTCCGGGTTCAAGCGATTCTCCTGCCTCAGCCTCCCCAGTGGCTGAGATTACAGGTATGTGCCACCATGCCCGGCTAATTTTTGTATTTATAGTAGAGATGGGGTTTCACCATGTTGGTCAGGCTGGTCTTGAACTCCTGACCTCAAGTGATCCACCTGCTTTGGCCTCCCAAAGTGCTGGGATTACAGGTGTGAGCCACCATGTCTGGCCTTATTTTTTCACTTACTACGTGCATAAGAAAGCTCAACTCTGATGAAATCACTTTGATAACTCACCTTTGATTTCTAATTATACATATGAGTTTCAGAAGAAGTATGGTTAAAAGGGTAAGAGAGGGAGAAACCAGCAATTAAGACAGATAATAACTTAAAGCTCTAGAGCATTGCTTCTCAAATCTTCATTTGCAATGAATCAGCTGTGAATGCTGTTAAAATACAGATTCGGATTTAGCAGGTATAGGTT
Organism: Homo sapiens; assembly: GCF_000001405.40. Lineage (NCBI taxonomy): Eukaryota > Metazoa > Chordata > Mammalia > Primates > Hominidae > Homo > Homo sapiens. Next base: position 89,890,602 of record NC_000015.10, read on the forward strand.
AAGTCCTGAGATGCAAGTCTAGTAAGCACCCAGGCAATAACATTTCTGCTGGTCTGGGGACCACACTTTGAGTAACGAATCATAAGAAAACCTTCAAATTGGACTTGCCCCAAGAGTTAGAAAATAGGTTCAAGTAATTTTAATCCCTTTCTTTCTATAGCCCTGAATTTAGCTTTGAAATGGTTATTTAAAAGAAACAGAGAGGGGAAAAAAGGGAAAACGTAATTGTGGGGAAATTACTTTGACTCACATGGGTATGGAATGGCTCACAGTATTTACTGACTGAATGAAAACTTGCTAATCATTGGTCACTACAAATTTGAGTAAATTAATCACTATTTTCCTCATTTCCATTTAAAGAACAAACAAAGCTCACAGATGACAGGATGCTGTAGGAGACGAACTCTATATATGCAAAATACAAAACATGCTAAGCATCAGCACTTTTTAAAACTGACAAAGACATCTTTTGAACTAAAGCCTTTTATCTGACTCTGGGGGAAGTGGCAGCAGTGGGGAAGTGGTACGAAATGATGAGGCTACCTAATTTCTAGTTCAATAAAAAGGTAAACTACCAATTGCTTACATGCCTCAGTGATTTTAATAACCCCTCATATCTTTTTAGTACTCTGTAGTTTTCAAGGTACTTTCATCCATGAGCTCATGAGGTCTTATAAAAATCCTATGATCCAAAGATACACGAATGGGCAATAAGCACATGAAAAGATGCTCAACATCATTAGTCATTTTGGAAACTGAAATCAAAACCACAATGAGCTGGGTGCGGTGGCTCACGCCTGTAATCCCTGCACTTTGGGAGGCCAAGACGGGCAGATTACTTGTGGTCAGGAGTTCGAGACCAGCCTGGCCAACACAGCGAAACCCCATCTCTACTAAAAATACAAAAATTAGCCAGGCATGGTCGTGGGCACCTGTAATCCTAGCTACTCAGGAGACTGAGGCAGGAGAATCACTTGAACCCGGGAGGCAGAGGTTACAGTGAACCGAGATCACGCCACTGCAGCCTGGGAGATAGAGTGAGATTCAGTCTCGGAGGGAAAAAAAAAAGCCACAGTGAGATACCACTTTACACCCACTAAAATGTCTTTAACCAAAAATAAATAAATAAATAACGAATGGCAGGGATGTGAAGAAACTGGAATCATTATACATTGCTGATGGAAATGTAAAATGGTGCAGCCACTTGGAAAATTTGTCAAATAGTTTGCAGTTTCTCAAAATGTTCACCACAGTTACCATATGATCCAGCAATTCTACTCCTAGGTATATAACCAAGAGAAATGAAGTCATAAGTCCACATAAAAACTTGCACAAGAATGTTCATAGCAGCATTAATTAGAAGAGCCAAAAAGCAGAAATATCAACTTATAAATTGACAATCAAAATATGGCATATCCATATAATGGAATATTATTCAGCAATAAAAGAAATGAAGAACATCAGATACATGCTACAACATGGATGAATCTTGAAAACATTATACTACATGAAACATGGCAGACACACAAAAAACCACTTATTTATGATTCCATTTATAGGCAACGGAATAGGCAAATTCCATTTGCCATTCTGGAACTGGCAAATTTAGAGGGAAAGAAACTCTCTGGGGCTGGGAGAGTCATGGAGAAATAGGGAGTGACTGCTAATGGGCAGAGGTTTCTTTTTGGGGTGATGAAAATGATCTAAAATTGATTGTGGTGATGGTTACACAGCTTCTGTGAACATGCTAAAAAACACTGAATTGTCCCCTTTAAATAAGTAAACTGGGGCCGGACACAGTGGCTCATGCCTGTAATCCCAGCACTTTGGGAGGCTGAGTCCGGTGGATTGCTTGAGCCCAGGAGTTCAAGACCAGCCTGGGCAACATAGAAAGACCCCGTCTCTATAAGTAAATAACATAAAATAAATAAGTAAACAGTATGGCATGTTAGTTTTATCTCAGTAACCCTGTTAGAAAAAAACTAGGGGGGAAATTTGCATACACACAAATGCAAATACAAATAGTTACGCTGAATACTCATATACATACATATATATATATACTTTTTTGTGTGTGTGTGTGATGGAGTCTCGCTCTTTCGCCCAGGCTGGAGTGCAGTGGCGCTATCTTGGCTCACTGCAAGCTCCGCCTCCCGGGCTCACGCCATTCTCCTGCCTCAGCCTCCTGAGTAGCTGGGACTTGGAGGTGCCCGCCACCGCGCTTGGCTAATTTTTTGTATTTTTAGTAGAGACGGGGTTTCACCGTGTTAGCCAGGATGGTCTCCATCTCCTGACCTCGTGATCCGCCCGCCTCGGCCTCCCAAAGTGCTGGGATTACAGGCGTGAGCCACCGCGCCCGGCCTGAATACTCATATTTTTACCTCGATGTAATCTACTTAATAAAATGTAATCTAGCTTTAAAAATCTTATGAAGGAGTAAAATTATTTTTTCATTTCTAATTGACAAAAGACAATAAAAGTCTGAAAAGGGTTTATTAACTTGTCAACAGACGCAAGAGTAGAAAAGGTGGAGCTGAAGCCTGAACACGTTTTCTGGCTCTTTCCCCTCTTCAGTTCCACCAGTCCCCCAATTATGTAACATTTTGAAACCCTGCCATGAAGAAATATAATCTTCGAAGACAGGAAGCAAATACTGATGTTTATGTGTTTGCAAAGGAACGTGTTGGGAAAATTCAAATTTACGTAATCACTTATTGAGCCCTTATGCGGCAGCATTTATAATTTCTCATCATTTTTCCACTTTTAAACTGATTTTCTTCAACCCTAAGAGTGAAGGGTATCTAGTCTCTGGAAAGTCCCAGCCAACACTGAAGCAAAATAATTCCAAAAAAAAAAGAACTTTTCCAGTTCTGGCTATAACAAAAACTTTCAGAAACTTAATATTTCTTCCTCATGAAACTGTGGTCAACAACCAAAAAGATGACAGAATGTGACTTCAATCACTCAAGTTCTCATCGAGGCACACTCCCCACTGTCGCTTCTATCTCGTTCCCAGAGACCCACGGGAAAATGTCACAAAATGGCACAGAAATGCCAGGATCAAGAAAAGGGTCAGCGAGAGCGGGGCAGTAGGGCGGGAGACAGAAGGCCTGGCACCAGCCTGCGCCTAGATTAAATGCTTAAGTAGGGCGAGGGTCATGCTCGGTGCAGGAGCCCCAGGTGACCAAAGAGCGGTGCCCCCGGGCGCCGAGAGGCCAAAGAGGAGGGAAGACATAGTGGGCGCCCTGAAGGGGCGTGGTGAAGCCGGGCCGCACTCACGAAACGCTGGTAGAAGCGGACTAGCCGTGGCTTCCCATGGTTGTTGAAAACCAGAATCGCCTGAATCATCTTTGCCAGCCACGGTTCTCTCAGCACCGGCTACTCCCAGAAAGCTCCTCCTTCCGCCACAACACGATCACTTCCGGTTGGTGCGCTGCTGAGAGCGGCACTCGGAAACTTGGCCCCGGCGCTCACGAGCCCTAGCACCCAAGGGTCCGGCCTCTCTGACGCCTTGGAGGGCAGGTGCGGATGCCGAGGAGAGTGGTCACCTCGGCCAGCGTTGGTTGGCCAGTCAGGATGCGAATCCGGATCTATGTCCCTCGCCCAGACCGACGGCTGGCCCCAGAAGCCGAAACGACCGTCAGCCGGGTTGCCAAAACGGAGAGGCGGCGGGAGCTTGCTTTTCTCACCGCCCGCTCCAAATCATGCACTCCCGCCATCCCCTTAGCGCTCGCAGAACGTTCCGCGGAGTGGAGACGCCGGTCATTCGGCCGTTCGTCGGTTATGGAACATTTCGTTCATTTTAATTTTTCAGTATTATAATGCTGCAGTGAATTACGTAGCTGTCTCTCCGTGCAGATGGGCTGTTCCTCTATGGTAGACGGTGAATGGTGGAATTAAGGAATTTTTAGTGCATTTCCATTTAAAATCCCAAATCGATCAAGTTCTTATTTTTGTTTGTTCTTTTAATGACCCAGTGTGGGTGAAGTGGAGCATGTCCGTATACTGCAGATGGAGCAGCGGATACAGATGCAAATCGATCCAGAGGACTGTTTGGCGATATGGATCAGAAGCCTTTAAAATATATAACAGTCCGGGCGCGGTGGCTCACGCCTGTAATCCCAGCACTTTGGGAGGCCGAGGCGGGCGGCTCACTTGAGGTCAGCAGTTCGAGACCAGCCTGGCCAACAAGGTGAAACCCCGCCTCTACTAAAATTACAAAAATTAGCCGGTTGTGGTGGCGCGCGCCTGTAGTCCCAGATACTTGGGAGACTGAGGCAGGAGAATGGCTTGAACCCGGGAGGCGGAGGTTGCAGTGAGCTGAGATCACACCACACTGCACTCCAGCCTGGGTGACAGATATATAACATATATATATATATATATAAAACATTAGACTCAGCGTTTCCAGCTCTAGAATTTATGATAAAATGATTGTGGATGTGTGAAAAGATTTAGCCTGAGGAACATACATTTCTGCCAGAGTATCTTCAGAACAGTAAAAAAAAGAAGAAAAAAATATATATCTCAGCAGTGTTATTACAGGGGAAAATGGGAAGAAAATTATTACAAAAATGAGAAATTGGTTAAGTGCATTGTTCTACATTGAATATGAGAAATATTAAATAGATAATAAAAATCATGCTGGGAAAGATTTATGATACGGAAGTGTTCATGACACCTGTTAAGCTAAAAGATTACACAAAGTATGTACAGGGACAACCCACTTTGCTCAAGATTGGAGGCAAATACACCAAAATATGAATCATGTATCTGATGGAATGGCAGAGTCAGGGTGTTTGATCTGTACAGGACCCTGGAACCACACTGCCCTGATTCAAAGCATGGTTCTGCGGACTGCCTGGGCACCCTGGGCAAGTTTCCCCATCTGTAGAAAAGGTGTAATATCAGTTTCCTAAACTGGAAAACTGGAAAATGAGTCTACTGACTTCAGACAGTTGTTATAAACACAAAGGGAGTTAGTATAATATTTGTAAGCACTTGGACAGTGCATGGCACATAACTGAGTACCACATAAGTGATTTAAAAACATCTTTGGGTGGTAGGATTATCAAGTTTTCCTTTTTTTCCTTCAAAGAAATATGTACTACTTTTGCAGCCAGAGTTCTGGGGTTTGCTTGTTTGTTTTTCAGAGATAGGGTCTTACCCAGGTTGGAGTGCAGTGGCACAGTCATACCTCACTGTAACCTCAAACTGCTGGCCTCAGGCAATCCTCCAGCCTCAGTCTCCCAAACCGCCACCACGCCTAGTCCAGTTTTTTGTTTGTTTGTTTGTTTGTTTGTTTGAGATGGAGTCTCACTCTGTTGCCCAGGCTGGAGTGCAGTGGCACAATCTTGGCTCACTGCAACCTCCGTCTCCCGGGTTCAAACAATTCTCCTGCTTCAGCCTCCCCAGTAGCTGGGATTACAGGCACATGCCACCATGCCCAGCAAATTTTTGTATTTTTAGTAGAGATGGGGTTTCACCACATTGGCCAGTCTGGTCTCAAACTCCTGACCTCAAGTGATTCACCCATCTCAGTCTCCCGAAGTGCTGGGATTACAGGCGTGAGCCACTGCGCCCGGCATGGCCCAGTTTTTAAATAAATAAAAACCAAAAGTCAGTTGCACTGAAACTTGACAAAATGTTTAAAATGTTGAGGAAGAATATCAAAGAAAATTCTGAAACAGAATTATGAAGAAGAACTAGCTCTGCCAACTATGAAAACCTACTTTGATGGTTCAAATTGTAATTATAGGAAGAATAACTGAAATATTATAAATAATTTAGGCATAAAATAATTTTAATATGTGATGTAGGAGTGGGAAGGAATTCAGTAAATACTATTAGGATAACTGGTTAGCAATTTGAAAATAAGTAGTTAGGTATAAAACCAGATAATAACCTAAACAGAAGAAAGCGAAATTGAATAAGATCCAAAAATCTGTATTAGCTTAGAAGCAATAAAAATCACAAAACATCAACAGATATATAAAGTTTTTTTATAAAAAGAATTATTTAATGGAAAAATCGTTGTTAAAATATGGCAAATGGTTATATTTAAAATGCAAATAACTGATAAACTAAAAAGATAACACTCCCCATCTCCCCAGTAGATAAATGGACGAAAGAACGAATAACAAAGGGAGAAATACAGCTAGGAAAAGGAAAAAATGTTTAAGCTCACTATAAGTGGGGGAAAGGCAAATTAAAATATATTCAAATATTATTTTCACCTCATCAAAAATCATTTTAAAAATGTTTTCATACCCAATTCTCACAAGGGCAGCATAAAAATGGTTCTCCCCTACATTGCTGGTGAAATTATGGTTTAGAACAACCCTTTTGGGAAGCAATTTGGCAATATAACAAGAACTTTGCAAAAGATTTCTAGATTCTCAGTAATATGACTCCTGGGCATCTGTTCCTAAAGAAATAACCCAAAAATATAGTTAGAGGTGGGGAATTAAGAGAACTATATAATTTTCAACATTTTTGGAAACATTAATTCTGTTAGCCACACAGGGATCAATTTTAAATATCCAAAAGTTGGACCATGACAGAACTATCCAATGGTAGCAATCTTAAAAATAATGGTTACAGGTGGGCGTGGTGGCTCACGCCTGTAATCCCAGCAATTTGGGAGGCTGAGGAGTGAGGATCACTTGAGATCAGAAGTTCAAGAAAAGCCTGGCTGACATGGTGAAACCCCGTCTCTACTAAAAATACAAAAACTAGCCGGGCGTGGTGGCGTGTGCCTGTAATCCCAGCTACTCGGGAGGCTAAGGCAGCAGAATAGCTTGAACCCGGGAGGCAGAGGTTGCAGTGGGCCAAGATCGCGCCATTGCACTCCAGCCTGGGCAACAAGAGCAAAACTCCATCTCAAAAAAAAGAAGAAGAAAAATGGTTACAAAGACTATGCAGCAATATGGAAAGTGATTATGTGTGGGCATAGTGTTACAACAACTACCTACAAGCATTACAGATGTTTCAGAATTTGTCTAGCAGGTTTTCCAGTTTGTACCAGAAAACCCCTATGCAAGTTTACAAAAACCAAAACTATGTACACAAATTACATGCTAAAAAACCCAAATACTAAAAATTATGAACATGACTGAGTGAAACTATGAGTCTTTTTTTCCCCTTTAAATATATTTCCTAAATGCATTGCTATTTGTGGAGATTAGTTTAGTCCCTCAAAAAATTTTCCCATAATGTCCGGCACTGTGGCTCATGCCTGTAATCCCAGCACTTTGGGAGGCTGAGGAGGGTGGATCACCTGAGGTCAGGAGTTCGAGACCAGCCTAGCCAACATGGTGAAATCGCATCTCTACTAAAAGTACAAAATTAGCTAGTCGTGGTGGCGCAGGCCTGTAATCCCAGCTACTTGGGATTACAGTAATCCTCCTGCTGAGGCAGGAGAAACTCTTGAACCTGGGAGGTGGAGGTTGCAGTGAGCCGAGATTGAGCCATTGCACTCCAGCCTGGGCAACAAGAGCGAAATTCCATCTCAAAAAAAAAAAAAAGAAAGAAAGAAAATTTCCCATATGAATGAAGCTCAGAGGATTTGCTTGGTTCTGTTTGAAGATACAAAATAACTGTAATTTCCATCATTAGGCCCATGGTGAAAGGCAAGCTGGACACTGGTGGAAGAAAAAAAAATTCAGATGGGTAGAGGAAAGGGACCTCCCTCCAAGAAAAGAGTCCAGGCAAGGCAATGCAAGTGGGGGAGTGACCTGCTCTGGGAACAGCCAGCCCCTCCATGGGACCAACACAGCCCTTCCCAAACTGTTTCTCACAACAGCTGTCCCATGAAATGCTCCTCACAAAAACGGGTTCTCTGACCAAAGAAATGTGGGAAATACGTAATCATACCCTGTCCTGAAGAGTTACAGTAAATGTTAGTATAGTTAAAGCTCCAAGAAATCCTACAGAAATGTTTGAGTTTAACACTACGTTTGTTCCAACAAATTAGATCATAGAAACACCACCACTTTTTGTTTCTAGCCCTATTAACAACCTGTGGAAGATCCCTCAGGCTGGTCTGAAAGAATCGCCCCAGAGCTCTTAAGGAGGAAGCGAGCCGAGAAAGGAGGGTTGTGACATTGTGATGAGCTCTGAGTTGTATTAAGGAATTTGAACTTTTCATCTGGGGAGTAATAGGATCCAGTCTAGCTTCCAAAAGCTGCCCCTACCAGCCACATGGGGGCCCCTGAAAGCAGGGTTTCAGCCCTGCTGTAGTTCCTCAACTCCCCACAGGTGTATCTAGGAAGGCTTCTGCCCTGGCTGGGCCTGCCCTAATGCCTGAACCAGTCCTGACCAGGGCAGGAGGTATGGCAAAATCAGGGGCTTTGGCCTCACCATCTGCCCATGCAGATGCCTATGCCACAGCAGCTTCCTATTTTCTCCCTTCCTAGTCCCTAGTCCTAGGGAATAGGATTTTACCTCAGTGTCCCTACCTGCTGAGCCTGGGACCCTATTCTTTTTTTTTTTTTTTTTTTTGAGACAGGGTCTCACTGTGTTGCCCAGGCTGGAGTGCAGTGGCAATCTCAGCTCACTGCAACCTCCACCTCCCGGGTTCAAGAAATTCTCATGCCTCAGCCTCCCAAGGCGCTGGAACTACAGGCATGTGCCACCATGTCCGGGTAATTTTTGTATTTTTTGGTAGAGACGGGGTTTCACTGTGTTGATCAGGCTGGTTTCGAACTCCTGACCTCAAGTGATCCGCCCACCTCGGCCTCCCAAAGTGCTAAGATTACAGGCGTGAGCGACTGCACCCAGCCCTGGGGCCCTGTTCTTATCCTCAGCCCACTTGGTTTTCCCATCCCTAGGGAGCTAGTTTCAGTTCTCTATACTTCTTAGCCACAGGCTGGGCTCCTGCTAAACAGCAGGTCACCCGGAAACATAACATCACTACTTGTGCACCACAGCACTGCCACTCACCCAGAATCTGGGCATCATTCTTGATCCCTTCGTCTCCCCCCAGGTCCTGTTGATTTTGCCCCCCGAATGCCCCTCAAATCATTCTCTTCTTTCCATCTCCCCTGCCACTGCTATAGACCAGACCCCTCTAGCCTCTCACCCAGGCAACTGCAGCAGTCTCCTAAAGGAGCAACTCGCCTCCAGCTGCTCGGCAGTCAAGTGACCTTTGAAACACAGATCAGATCTTCTCACTCTCCATGGGATCACTGGCTTCCAGGATGTTAAGGATAAAGTCCCCAATTCCTTAACATGCGTGAGGATGCCATGCCCAATCTCCAGCCTCATCTCAAACACCAGCCCCCATTCTCTGAGCTCCAGACACAATGGTCTTTCCCTTCCTGAAGCCCATCCAAGACACCCCGCCCTTTTTGTTGCTTTAGGACCTCTCCTATTGACACACTGGGCCTCCTTGTTTGGAATGGTGACCTGTCCATATAAGTGTGCCATACCCTTTGGACACAGTGCTTTAGACAGCAGGATGTCTAAAGACACTGGGTGACTCTACCCCCAGTCAGTGTCCCCAGCTATCCTTCTGCTCAACCACCTCCCTGGCCACCCCCATGGCTGAGGTCCCAGCATGGCCTGCCTGTGAGAAAGTCCCATTCAGACACAGAACACCAGTGAAGTGGCTACCACATCCTCTGGCCCCTGTTTCCAAGACCTTTCTGAAGGGCAAGGAAGCAGGGGACAGTGGAAGGAACATAAGGTTTGCTTTTGACAGCTCTGGGTTTGAATCCTGATTCTGCTACTCATTAGCTGTGTGACTCTGGGCAGGTTGCTTAACCTGTCTGAGACCCTTTTCCTGCTCTGTAATATGAATAGTCCGGTAGTTAAGAATGTGGGCTTTGAAATCTGAGTGCTTGGATGTAAATTCCTCTTGCCACTGTATACTATCCTAGAGCTCTGAGCTTTAGTCTCATGAGAAAATGGGAATAATAATCAGTACCTCATGGACTGTTGTGAGAAGTACGATATCGCAAGTGCTTAGCACAAGTATGAGTAATTATTATCATGGAAATCATCTAGCATTGTGTTCGACACATTAGGGGGACTCCATAATTATTAGTTCACCACCACCCTCTCTTTTCCCAAGTCAAGCAAGATCCACATGCCACCAAGTCCTGACGACATGGAGACTTCAATTCCAGGTCTCTTCACAGATCTGGGTGTGGGTATACTACCCAAAAGGCAGTGTTCATGAGCCAAGAGAAATGGCTTCCTTCTCATAGGAACATTGCTCAGCTGAAAGGCCGTTTACACCTGACAATAACCCAGTAAGGGTGGAGGAATTCCTTTCTGAAGATTTACTCATTCATAAAAAGTTCTCCAGGTACAAAACAACAACAAAAAAGGTATTCTCAAAACTGTAGCCTGGCAGAGTGAGTCTGAGAGATGCGGACCAGCCAGCCACGCCTGGGAACGCTGTTGGCCTCTCTGGGAATGGCATCTACCAGGAAAGCAGCCAGGGATGTCAGATAACAGAAACCCCAGAGGTGGCATGGGAACATTTGAGGGAGTAAAGAACTGGCAACTCAAGGTAGGGGGAAGGTACAAGGGACACGGAGGCTTGAAGCAGGATAGTACAGGCTACAACACAGAGTGCTGAGGAAGGGGTGGGTGGGGAAGGAAAGCAGGAAACAATGAGAACGGAGGAAGAGCCCCGCTAACTTCTCTCAGCTGCTCTGCATTTAGACAAGGGATATTCCCCACTCCGCACCAATACCAGGTCCAGTTACTCTCAGGCTGTCCTAGGGTCTCTCCCACCACCTGCCTCTACAAACAAAGCTGCTATCCAGGGCCAGGGTCAACATGAGGCTGGGTGCAGTGGCTCACGCCTGTAATCCCAACACCTTGGGAGGTGGAGGGGGGTGGATCGCTTGAGTCCAGGAGTTTGAGATCAGCCTGGGCAACATAGTGAGACCTCCATCTCTAATTTTTTTTTAAAGGGTCATCATGTAATGTCTAGGAAGGCTAGACTCACATGCAGGGAGGGGCCCTCCCTGAGCCACAGCATGAGGCCCCACCACCAACACAGTGGTCATGGGTTTGGTTTTAGCAGAGCTTGTTCAAAGAGTATTCCAAGGTGGCTATGGGGAAGAACCAGGTAAGACTTGGCAGACTGTTCTCTCCAGCTCCAGAGTAGAAGTTCATGGAAGAAATGTTCCACAATGCTACAGAAGGTGCTGGTGCCCCCAGAGGCAGCCACGTCCCTCAGTCATCCTAGAGAAATCCAAGGGGTAAAGAGATGTGGAGACAGCACATGTCATAAACGTCACTGCAAGTTATCAGACAAACAAGGGTTCAATTGCGTGGTACCTGTGGGGCCCATGAGTGCTTGCCTGGGCGCCTCATTAGAGCTGGCCCGGCAGCTCCAACAGCTCTTGGACTGTTTTTCAGTCCAAGATTCGCTTTATGAAGACAAAAAGGAATCCAGACACTCTCATCTGCGTGCGCCTGCTTTCTCTGGCAAAAGACATCATCTCCATTACCTAGATAAATAGTGCATTTTTCTGTGACTTCGTTGCTTCAGATGTTCATTTTGAGGCCAGGTGTGGTGGCTCAAGCCCGTAATCCCAGCACTTTGGGAGCCTGAGGCAGGTGGATCACCCGAGGTCGGGAATTCGAGACCAACCAGCCCAACATGGAGAAACCTCGTCTCTACTAAAAATACAAAATTAGCCAGGCATGGTGGCGCATGCCTGTAATCCCAGCACTTTGGGAGGCTGAGGCAGGAGAATTGCTTGAACCCGGGAGGCAAAGGTTGCAGTGACCTGAGATGGCGCCATTGCACTCCAGCCTGGGCAATAAGAGTGAAACTCCGTCTCAAAAAAATAAAATAAAATAAAATAATAAATGTTCATTTTGGGGCCTTATGACATCAATTCAAGTCTTTGGGTAAAATATACTTCAGAAAAACAACTGTGAACCTGGGCAACATGGCAAAACCTCGTCTCTACAAAAAATAAAAAAATTAGCCAGGCGTGGTGATGCATGCCTATAGTCCCAGCTACTTGGGAGGCTGAGGTGGGAGGATCATTTGAGCCCAGGAGTTCGAGGCTGCAGTGAGCCATGATCGTGCCCCTGCACTCCAGCCTGGGCAACAGAATGAGACTCCATCTCCCAAAAAAAGAGAAAAGAAATGAAAAGAAAAGCAACTGTGAATAGGCTGAGGATCAACGTGGGGACTGACTCTCATCAAAAGAAAAACCAGTAAGGACCAGGTCAGCCATTCTCCAGACACTTCAGGCAAGGAGCCCAAACCAAAGGAGGAAAAACTACGCATTCAGTTGTTCAACTGCCTCAGCATGGTTAATGTATTCACTTGAAGTAGAAATGTTTTGAGACTTAATGACCATGATTAATATCCCTCTGCACCCCCTCCTTCCTACCACTTGGGAATCTTTGGGGAATAGTTAGGTTCAGAGCCACCTACAAGAAAGGTCCCAGGTTGTCATTCTTCATACCTTAGAGGAATTCTCCTGATGCTAACACATTCCCAGGTGTTTCACAGAATTCCACTAAAGCTGGGGGGTAAGATTCATCCTGTCGTCTTCTCATCCTACCCACAACCTCAACCAGTATGTACCATGCTCCTGCCAGGAGATACAACTGCACCAACACCAGGTACCTACCCACTCCTCGTCCTCTGCCCCATCCCCCTGCTCTCGGATCTCCGCTGCAGCCCCCTTCGAACACTTTTGGGCCATGATGTTGTCTGTCCAGGATGCCCCTGTCTTTCCATCACCAGTGAAATTACACTTGGTCACTGTTCCAGCCTCAAGTTTGGCCAATGAATCTGAAAGAAGAGATGAAATTGAATGTCCTCTGTCCCTGTGGCAGAAACATAGTGAGGGCTGGGCCCATTATGGTGGGGTCCCCTAGGCCTGGGTTAAACCACTGTTTTCTCCAGGCATAGATGTGGTCAATGAGCCCCTGGGTGGGACCCCCAAGGTATGGTGGGAGAGTCGCTCACAGGAACCATGGGATTGGGTGGCACCCGGGGATCCAGGCTGTCGAGCCCAATGGCCCTAGGGCACTTGTGCAGGGATTTAGGAGTAAATCTCAAGGGCTTGGTCGTGTCCCCATGGAGGCCAGCCCTTGCCTGCTCCCATGAGCTCTAGGCAGAAGGGAGGCCAAGAGCCCCCATGGGCCACACAGGAACAGTGGGCCACAGTGAGGGTTGCATTGCTCACCCAGGAAGGGACCATCGCCCCGAGTCTTCAGCCGTACCCCGGCCCCCAGCTCGAGTTCCATCACCTCCATCTCTGACTCGGGCATCCAGAACGCCACTGTGTGGTCGGGGGTGAGGCTCTCTGTCAGCGCGAGCAGCTCTGGCTTGTTGACCAGCCCCTTCAGCGCCTCGGGCGTGAGCCTGTCAGTGTCCCCCTTGGCTTCCACCTCTGCAGGCACAGAGCGCAGGAGGGTCATTATCACTGTGGCAGCAAGAACTTCCGGAGGGCCTCTCAGGAGCCAGGTGAGGGCTGAGTGTTTCCAAGCTCAGTCACCCGGAGGCTGGGACTCAGTGCCCATTCTGCGAGTCCTCATCAAGGAACTCCACAGCAGAGGCGGACAGGCATGAGCTGGGGACAGGCAGCCTGGTGCAGATCTGGGCTCCACAATAACTTAGGCAAGTTACATCACCTCTCCGTACCCGAAAAATAGGATAAAATCAGAACCTACCTGACAGGACTGAAATGACGTATAAAGGAAATAAAGCATGTAGCACAGCGCCTGGCACATGGACCCCTAGGTAAGCATTCATATGTTTTCACTATTCCCATCTTACAGATGAGAAAACTAAGGCTTAGAGAAGTTCAGTAATTAGCTCAAGGTCACACAGTAGTAGAGGAGGCAGGATTCAAAGCACCCCAACACATTCCATCTTGAGACCCCGGTGGCCAGGCAGGGTTCTCTCCAGGCTCTCAGGGTCTACCTGGCTGGGGTGAGGTCTACTGGAACCAGGAGTAAACTCTGGTAGTCCCCCTCCTCTCTCCTGGCCCTGGCAGAGTTCATGGACTAAGGGAGGAGTCCTAAATCCAGGTGCTGGATTAGGGAAGGGGCACTCCCGGACTGTGAAGTGGGCCCAGCCTCCCAGGACTGTGTGTTCACAAGGCCACACCCCAGCACAGCAACCCCGGAGCTTGTCCCACAGGCTGCCTGCGCCACGCCAAGCCCAGGTGGCCGCACTTCACTGGAGAACATCCCAGCCAACCCATGAACACATTTCATGGAGCACATTCCATTCATGGTGTACAACCTCAGCCAACCTCTGCCAGGGGTGCCTTCTGGGACTGCACAGGTGGCTGCTCCCACAGGACTGCTCCATCCTCCTCAGCCCTCTGCCCTGACACCCTCTAGACAGAGCATCTCACTTTCTTTGCAAGGTAACAGAAGCCATCAAGTGAGACCTCTCACTTCCCTGACCACTCACCTGTCAACCCTTTTTTTTTTTTTTTGAGATGGAGTTTCGCTTTGTCACCCAGGCTGGAGTGCAGTGGTGCAATCTCGGCTCATTGCAACCTCTACCTCCTGAGTTTGAGCAATTCTCCTGCCTTAGCCTTCCGAGTAGATGGGATTACAGGCGTGTGCCACTACACCCAGCTAATTTTTGTATTTTTGTTAGAAACGGGGTTTCACCATGTTGGCCAGGCTGGTCTCAAACTCCTGACCTCAGGTAATCCACCCATCTCAGCCTCCCAAAGTGCTGGGATTACAGGCGTGAGCCACCACGCCCAGCCATCAACTCACGTCTGACCACACAAAACATCTCCTCTTTCCTTCTGTCTCAAAGGATAGGAGGCCTCTCCTCCTGCCTCAAGCCAGCTCCTCCATCTGGGCTGCAGATAGACCCCTTCCCCCCTCCTGAGGACCTGTCTCTCTCTCCCCACTCCTTGACCTTTCCTCAAGGCCTTCCTGCGTTCTGGCTTTGACACCTACTGCTCCAGACCCCATGTACCCCCACCAGAGTCACCGGTGAGCTCTTAACCTGCAAACTTCTTGGATGCTCCATATCTCAGACCTAACTAACCCGTGGGCAGTGCCTGACCCCACTGCTAGCTCCTCACGCCTGTTCCCCTTGGCTTCGCGGGGCTTTAGAGACATGACACCTTCCCATCCCTCGGACCTTTCAGTGGCTCCATCTCCTGCTCTTCCTTCTCCATCCATCTCCTATTGTTGCTATTTCCCAAGACAACCTCCTGGGCCCACTTCTTTTCTCCTCCTGGGTAACTGGGTCCACTTCCATAGCTTCAATACTCTCGATGTGCTGCAGCCCAGTTCTCTCCCCAAGTTCTAGAACTATCCTCCAAGGCCTCAGTAGACCTCTACCCAGCAGTGCTCCTGGCAACTCAAACTCAGTGTGTTCCAAACAGACCTCCTCCCCACAAACCTCTCGCCCCTCCATTTCCCCAAGTCTGGCACCGATGCCCAACCCCTGGCATCATCACGACTCCTTCCTCTTCCTCCCCAGTAGCCAAGCCAACACTGAGGCCACTGTGCCTCCTCTAGCTTGAGCTCCTCCAGTCTCTGCACCCCCACTGACAGGTCCTTAATCCTGGCCTTCTTATCTCTGTCCTAGGTGACCCTAACAGCTTTTTCACAGGCATCG
The DNA here is from genome assembly GCF_000001405.40 of Homo sapiens. Taxonomy (NCBI): domain Eukaryota; kingdom Metazoa; phylum Chordata; class Mammalia; order Primates; family Hominidae; genus Homo; species Homo sapiens. The sequence goes on from NC_000015.10 coordinate 89,906,191, forward strand.
CTGGGCTCCAGGCTATTTGCCTCCCTGGAGATTTTCAAACACAGACCTGATCACATCACCTGCCTACTTAAAACCTCACTACAGGGCTGCCCTGCACCCTTGGTTAGAGTTGAGCTCCTCAGTGCCCGCCCCTCCTGCTGCCTGCCCTGCATGGCTTCTCATACCTGGGTCAGGAACTCTTCAACTGCCAGGCATTGGGCACCCTCTGCCTCTCTGAAACACCCTGCAAATCCCTGGCACCTGGCTGACCTCTGCTTATCTTTCAGGATTCAGTCCTGTTATTCCCTGCTCTAGGGCATCCCCAGCCATGCCTGCCTGGGCTCAGCACCCTTCACGGGATCCAGGCCCGGGCCTGTCCATCTCCTCTACTGGACTAAGAACATTTCAAGTATACGACTGGGTCTTGTTCATCCCTGGACCTCTCAGCATGTGGCACAAGGGCTGGCACATGATATAGATGGTCCCTAATGTTCAGAGAGTCAATGAGTAACTGAAGGTATGAATGAATAAAGTGATAGAGTCCCACTCAACCTCAAAACCTTCTCACCCAGGGGCAGACAGCAAAGAGGCTCAACCAGAGACAAAATCAGGAAGAAGAAGAAGATCATGGAGGGCTTGCTATGGTTGGAATGTATCCCCCAAAATTCGTACGTTAACAGGAGGCTGAGGCAGGAGAATCGCTTGAGCCTGGGAGGCGGAGGTTGCAGTGATCCAAGATTGAGCCACTGCACTCCAGCCTGGGGGACAGAGCCAGACTTTGTCTCAGACAGCAAAAGAAAAGGAAAAAAAAAAAGTCAAACTCAGCTGCCTTTCCTCCACTGATGGAGTATGGACATAATGCCTAGAAGTAAAGTGGCCATCAAAAAGTATTATTATTATTATTACTATTTTTTTTTGAAACGGAGTCTCACTCTGTTGCCTAGGCTGGAGTGCAGTGGTGCAATCTCGGCTCACTGCACCTCCACCTCCTGGGTTCAAGTGATTCTCCTGCCTCAGCCTCCCAGATAGCTGGTATTACAGGTGCACGCCACCATGCCCAGCTAATTTTTGTATTTTTAGTAGAGCTGGGGTTTCACCATGTTCGCCAGGCCGGTCTCGAACTCCTGACCTCAAGTGATCCACCCACCTCGGCCTCCCAAAGTGCTGGGATTATAGGCATGAGCCACCACACTCACCCTAAAATTTTTTTAAAAAAGAAAAAAAATCATATGTTGAAACTTAATCACCAATGTGATAGTATTAAGAGGTGGGACCTTTAGGAGGTGAGTCATGGCATACGAGTGGGATGAGTGCTTTACAGAAGAGATTGAAGAGAGAGCCGCCTTGCCTTCTGCCATGTGAGGACTCAGCAAGAAGGCACCGTCTCTGAAGCGCAAAGCAAGCCCTCACCGGACACTGAATCTGCTGGCACCCTGACCTTGGACTTCCCCGCCTCCAGAACTGTAAGCCAGACATTTCTGTTCTTAAGTAGGTGCAGTGGCACACACCTACAGTCCCAGCTATTCTGGAGGCTGAGGAGGGAGGATCACTTGAAGACTATAGTGTGCTATGATTGCACCTGAGAATAACCACTACACTCCAGCCTGGGCTACATAGCAAAACCCAGCCACTAAAAATGCACAAAGAAACAAAAATTTTAAAAATTAAAAATAAAATAAACAAACACATTTCTATTGTTAATAAATCACCCAGCCTAAGGTATTTTGTTATATAGCACGCACGGACTGAGACCCCAGAACCAAAAGAGGATTTGGGCAGTAAAACAGAGACCGCCTAGGGCCTGGCCTGGGCTCTGCACAAAGGCAGTTAGAGCCCAAAGCCAGGTTTGTGGGTGATTCTGCCAGATACAGGAAATGGCAGGAGGTGGGAAGGCCAGCCTGGCCCCTGGAATGGAGGGGAGGGAACGGGGATCCTCTGAGTAAATGGGAGGCAAGGCCAGGGGTGGATGTGGAAGCCTCAGGCCACATACAGGGCTTCAACATCAAGAGGGCTGAAGAGACACTTTCCAGGGGCTAAGAGGCTCAGAAGAGAAAGGCCGCCACACTGCAGGAGGGCCCTGAGGGAGAGAGGGAGGGCAGAGGATACCTACTGTAGGACGACATGAGGAAGCCCGTGTTCACCTTCCTGGTGGCGCTGAAGTTGGGCTCGATTTCATTTCCCTTGGCGTCGAATTTACGGCGATGGATGTGACTGGGCCGGATATACAGCACGTAGTAGCGCTCCTGGGGCCAGGCAGACAGAGAGTGAGGGGGCGGCTTCATCCCACAACACACACACTCTGGGCTCCGGCTGCAGCCCCGCCAACCTCACATCTACCCTAGAAGCCCACCTCAGCTCCAAAAGATGTTCAAGCTAGGCAGATGCTCCCTCTGCCCCCAAATACTTATGCATTCATGGGTTCACAAGAGCACCTGCCGCATATAATGAGCCCTGCTAGAAGTTCCTAACAGGGCAAGCCCAGGGCTTCCACACAGCCAAAGACAAAAAGTATATATAGAAAACCATAACTTGGGCTGGGCACAGTGGCTCACGTCTGTAATCCCAGCACTTTGGGAGGCAGTGGCGAGTGGATCACGAGGTCAGGAGTTCGAGACCAGCCTGGCCAGCATGGTGAAACCCTGTCTCCATCAAAAATATAAAAAATTAGCCAGGTGTGGTGGCATGTGCCTGTAATCCCAGCTATTCAGGAGGCTAAGGCAGGAGAATCGCTTGAGCCCAGGAGGCGGAGGTTGCTGTAAGCCGAGATCCTGCCACTGTACTCCAGCCGGGGAGACAGAATGAGACTTCATCTCAAAAAACAAAAACAAAACAAAACAAAACCATAACCCAAGCCCGAGGACCGCAAATACCATGAAGCAGGAATGGGCGCTGCCAAGGTGCAATGGAAAGGGCACTGAAAAGGAGCCCTGGGTGAGGGCAGCCACTCTGCCCCTTCCAACAGCCTGGGACAAACCACTCAGTTTCCCCATCACATGGGGATAACGTGATGTCTGTGTTTAAGAATATTATGAGGGTTCAATGAGATAACAGAGGGGCAAGCACAGTGCCAAGCGTGAACTGTGCTATAAGTGCTGTTTGCCAGTTGTTCAAGGCAGGTGGGTGAAATGCTCCCAGGGCCTGAAGAATAGGAGGCCACATCCTGGTGGAATCAAGAAAGATGAAGTCTTGGAGGGTAGGGAGGTCTGCCAACTGTGGGAATAAGAAGCTGTAGGAATAATATTAAAAGCCTGGGACAGTATAGGAAATAAAAGCCAAGAGGCCCTTGTGCATGTTTGAGCCACGCAGGGCACCTGGAGGCCTTCTGGGAGCCCAGGCTGGGAAAGCAAGTGGGCTTGGTTCAGGACAGGTCTTGAGTTGGCATTCGGAGTTTGGATTTTATTTGATGGACAAGGAATCCTGAAAGGTTTCTGAGCAGCAGTGAGACCCTCAGAGATGTATTTCTGGAAAGACATTTGTCCTATTGGCAGCAGGGCAGGGATGAGTTCTGGGGACAGCCAGAAGGCAGGGGGACAGGTGCAAGGTTTTATCAGGACAGGCTGAGGGCCCATCTCAGGTAAGCAGCCATGGAAAGAGGAAGGGAAGGCAAGGGAGGGGGAGGAATGGGCAAGGGCCCAATGCCAGCAGGGCCTGGCATTGCTTACCTGGGGAGGAGACAGTGAGGGTTCCCAGCCCGGTGGCTGGGAGGGCAACTGCACCATCACCAGGAATGGAACTCAGAGGAGGCAAGTTTTAAGAGGGGCTAGGAGAAGGCCCTGCCTGACGGCAGATGAGGCAAGCAAGCCCCACATCAGCATGGAGACACTGCTGGGCTCTCCTGGGCAGGCTAGCTAGGGGCTCTGATGGGTGTTCCCACCTGCCCACTGTGTGCTAAGGAGGGGAGGGTGCAGCAAAATACCGCCTGACATGAAAATAGTGCTGAGCTGTTCTCATGGGGTACAGGAGGGACATGCAGGCTCCATGTAGCACCAGGCCTCTGGCCCTACTGGAGGGGGCATTTTTAGAGACCAAGCTCAGTTATAGAGATCAAGGAGATAAGGTGGTCAGCACATCTAGGTGGGGCTATTTGAAGGGGGAGTGGAAAGTCGGAACTAGCGCTCCGAAAAAAGACACAGGCTAGTACTGGATGGTAAATGCCAGGTGTACCCACAGACACCTGAGATGGGGTGGTGATACAGGACATGACCCCAGGAGGCTGAGAGGGCAAAGGCAGCCAGGACATCAACATGGGAACTGAAGCCCCAGACACTGTCAGAGTTTACATTCAGGCAAGACTGGGGTTTAGGGCCTGGTCTGCCTTCTCAGCCATGACCCAGGCTCTTCTGGCAAGAACACAGGCCCTCCCACCTGTCTGCTGCTCAACACAGCCTTAAACTATTCTTCCAGCTGGTGGTCCCATTTGGCTATAAATCTCCTGACCTACTTCCCACTTGCTTTCTAAGCCCATCAAGAATCCCAACTCATGGCACTGGAAGGACCCAGCACAAGGAGATGCCACAGTGGATGATGACCGTGAAGTCAGTGCCCTCTAGCTAGCACCGAGGAAGCATCCTCACCTTCCTGCCATGAGTGTCCAAGATGCTGTGCCGAGATACATCGATCAGTTCTCCCTCCAGCAGGACACCATTTCCCCTGGGGATGAAAGGGAAAGAAAGGATAGCCAGTTTTGTCAGTCCTCAGCAAATCTCACCCGTGTCTCCTATTTACCCAGCCCTGAGAAGGCTGGGTACTGAGCAGCTCCTTTCCCCGTGCTTCCGACATAGGGATCTCCAAAGGGTCCCAAAGGCTGGGGCATTGCCCAGATGCCAGGAGGAACCTTGTCAGGCTGCCCTAAGATCAAGCTATGGCCCCCTCCTACAAGGCCACTGGGAGTTACTGGAACCAGAGCCTCAGTCTTATCTACAAAATGGGGAGGAAAACAGCTGCCTCACTCTGCTCCTCTGATGTTGACACAAGATCATGTGTGTGAAGGTGTTTTGTAAGCTATTAAGTGATTACTAAATACAAAAGATTTTACTTTTTTATTGGTCCAAATGTGAGGGTAGGTATCTAAGCTGCAATAAACTATTTTCCCTTTCCACCTGTTTTTAAACACTCTCATATTCCTTTTCTCATTCATATCCAGGTGGTCATTAACCCGAGGAAATGGTTATTACTGAGAGGTGAAGAAACCAAAACTCAGAAGTCTGAGACTAGTCCAAGATCACACGGTCCTTCACTGAGGGGAAGTGGACCCCTGGCTTCTCGACTCTGGTTTTCATAAAAGCAGAACGTGGAGGCTTCCTTTTTTGCATCCACAGAAATGGAGAAGCATGGGGACAGCTGAAGATGACAGTGGAATAGGGATGGGAGTGGGAAGTGAAAACTCTACCTAGCTGGTCTCTATCCAATTCTTCCCCACCCCCCACAATTATTTTTCTAAATATTTAACTGACAAAAGACTGTATATATTCAAGGTGCACAACGTGATGATTTAAGTACACACTATGTAATGATTACCACAGATTAATGAACACACCCACCAGACCCCATGCTGTACATTAGGTCCCCAGAAATTGTTTATTCTATAACTGAAAGTTTGTACCTTTGATCATTACCCCATCCCCATCCACTATCCCCTGGCAATCACTGTTCACTGTTCTACTGTTTCTTTTCTTTTGACACAGTCTTGCTCCATCGCCCAGGATGGAGTGCAGTGGCACAATCTCGGCTCACTGCAACCTCCACCTCCCAGGTTCAAGCGATTCTCATGCCTCAGCCTCCCAAATAGCTGGGATTACAGGTATCTGCCACCACGCCCGACTAATTTTTGTATTTTTAGTACAGACAGGGTTTCACCATTAGGCTGGTCTCAAACTCCTAACCTCAAGTGATCCACCCGCCTCGGCCTCCCAAAGTGCTGGGATTACAGGCGTGAACCACAGCGCCTGGTCTGTTCTGCCGTTTCTATGGTTCAACGCTTTTATAGGTTCCATATACGAGATCACACAGTATTTGTCTTTCTGTATCTGGCTTATTTCACTTAGCACAATTCTTCAGCGCAGTTGTAAATGGAATGGTCCCTTCGGCCTCATAACCCTGTGACGACAGGGCCTGGCCCTCCAAATCCTCCTCACCCAGGCAGGCCCTGCTCTGGACCAGCCCGCCCGCTGTTCCCGCCACAGCACGGCCACTGTCCCTTCTGGGGCAGGGCATGAGTCTGTGCAAAAGCAGCGCGGCAAGTAGCTGGAGTTTATAGTTACGCGGGTGGGGTGGGGCCGGAGGTCGGCGTGAGGCGAAGCCCAGCCTTCGGAGACCTGTCTGGGGGTCGGGACCCTCTCTCGAGGGCAGGCGGACAGGCGGGGAGCTTTAAGCCGATCTGTGTCATGGGGTCGCTGGGCGGGCGCGGCGGCAGGGGCGCCGGGAGCGGCGGACTGGAGGGGCGGACTGAAGGCGGAGAGGCGGCTTTGGCAACCCCAGTTTTCCCCCACCCGCATCCCACCCCCCCACCCGATCCTGTTGCGGGGTTCGAGCCGGGGCAGGGGAGGCCGACCCGAGGCCGTGAGCCCAGGCCTACCCCTGGTGGGCGGCGGGGTCCCAGGCCCCTGGCAGCCGGACGCTCTGCACCGCCTTGTTCCGGAGCGCGCCGTCGTGGTAGATGCGGCTCATTCTCCCGACCGCCCGGGCACCCCGGCACAGAGCCGGCGCACTGGGCTGGGGGCGCGGCGCGGGAAGTGCTGCAGGACGCGCGGGGACCCGCGATTCCCAGCCGGCGGATCCGGGAATGGCGCGGCCCGGCCCTCAGGCGTTCCTCGGCGGGATTTAAAGGGACCGAGCTCCATTCCTGCACGCCAGGCCGCGCGCGGCAGGAGTTGGGCTTCCGGGAGGACCCTGGCTGGGGGCTTAGCACAGTGGGGCAGAAAGGCCATGCTTTTCTCTTGTCTCTCTCTCTTCCTCATTCCTAGAGGAAGATCCCTGCCCCAGCACACGCACAAAAGGGAAATTGAGGCCCCAAGATCCTATTATAGAAGATCCTTTGTAGGATCAGCCCGGGAAGGATGGGTTTCTGGGAAGCAGGAATGGAGAACAGCCACTGGGGAGGATTGGGTGGTCAGCTTAGAAGCTGTCCATTATGCCCCGCCCGCGGCCCTACAATGGCTGAGTCAGGTATCCCAGGGATCTGTGACGAGGGAGCTGGGGCATGGGTGTCGGACCAAAGACGCCTAAGTTTGAATCCCAGCTGTGAGCTTGGGCAAGCTCCTCAACCTCTCTGAGCCCATGCTTCTTCGTCTGTAAAATGGGGTCAGTATCAGGGGGATTGTAAAGTTTAATGAGCTCACCCTTTCTACAACATAGCATTGCCCTCCCTCCTTCTTCCTGCACAGCTCCTGAACTCCTCCCTGGCCCCACAATGCCCTTTGCCCAAGTATGTCATAGTCCGCAGGTGCATTTTCCAAGCCTGGTACAGAAGATTCTTCTGACCCTGGGATTGTTGAGGAATCTTTGTTCTTTTGTTTGGCTTCTTCGTGCCAGGCCTCGGGGCAGGTGGGCCCATTCAGGGAGGCCAGGTGTACCCCGGGAGAGGGGGCGGCATTTAAAGGGGGTGGTGGCCAGGCAGGTGCCTAGGAGTCTAGCATGAGCTGTCAATGTTGGAAGAAGAAAGCACCCTCTCCCTTCCCTGCTACACACACACACACACACACACACACACACACACACACACAGACAATGACTTTCTTGGGTCCTAGGCACTTTTGTTTTCAAAGGACCCTTTCTCCATTAAAAATTTTTTAAAAAATTATTATCTTACCACTGGGTTGGCATAAAGATGAATATATGAATTATATATATATATATATATTTTTTTTTTTTTTTTTTTGAGACAGTCTTCCTATGTTGCCCAGGCTGGAGTGCAGTGGTGAATCTTGGCTCACTGTAACCTCTGCCTCCCAGGTTCTAGTGATTCTCCTGCCTCAGCCTCCTGAGTAGCTGGGATTACAGGCACTCACCACCACACCCGACTAATTTTTGTATTTTTAGTAGAGATGGGGTTTCACCATGTTGGCCAGGCTGGTCTCAAGCTCCTGACTTCATGTCACCACCTGCCTCTGCCTCCCAAAGTGCTAGGATTACAGGCCTGAGCCACTGCTCCCAGTCTAAAGTGTTTTCTTCAACCTAAACATATATTTTTTTTTCTGCATCCAATCATCCATTACTAAACATATTTTTAGGAAGAAAGAGCACCTGTAGTCCCAGCTACTCAGGAGGCTGAAGTGGGAGGATCACTTGAGCCCAGGAGTTTGAGTCCAGCCTAGGCAACATAGCGAAACCCTGTCTATTAAAAAAAATTAATGAAATTAAATTTAAATTTTAAAAGAATAAAAACATTTTGTGGACCGCTAAAAGTATGATGGGCCTAATGGATGAGTCAGCCCCACTCCTAGCTGGCCTACCTGGCTGCCCGGTGTATGTCTGAGAAGGAAAAACATAGAAAAGCCCTACTGGAAAGCCCCTCTGGGTAGAACTGTCCTTTGGCCCTCTCTGCTCAAAACCCTCCAGCTGCTCACAGCCACCTGGCTGGCATGTCCTCCTCCTCTTTCCCTTTTCTGTGTCACGTTCCCCCTCACTGTGGCTCCAACTGCACAGCCATCCATGGTAGCCACTAGCCACATGTGGCTACTTAAATTTCGATTCTAACTGATTAAACCTAAATTAAATGTAAAACTCAATTCCTCACTTTCACTAGCCACATTTTTAAGTGCTCAATAGCAACGTGTGTTTAGCGACTACAAGACACAGAACATTTCTTTGTTGCAGAAAGTTGTATTGGACAGGGCTGCTCTAAATCCTCTCAGGAAGAGTCATCTGCTTATTAGGCTCTGCAACTTCACCCCATCGGCACAATCTGCAGGCCAGGCACCAGCAAGACAGAGGAACCCAAAAGAAGAAAAGGAAAATTTTTGGAAAGGTTTTGACATTTATTTCCTAAAAAGCATCAATCATCACGGGAAAAAACCCCAGAATTTTGTTGGACTTTCTTCCATGTATTTTGCAGTTTAATAATGTCTCTATATTAAATTATAAACCACAAGGTACCATGGAGACAGTATCAAGTTATCTTCGATTAACACCATTCAACATTTGATTCCTACACTAATTCCTCTTGCTTTGTGTTCCTCCTCATCATCAAACTTTCCAAAATGTCCAGTTTTTTGTTGTTTGTTTTCTTGAGGCAGAGTCTCACTCTGTCACCCAGGCTAGAGTGCAGTGGTGCAATCTTGGTTCACTGCAACCTCTGCAATTCTCCCACCTCAGCCTCCCAAGTAGCTGGGATTGCAAGCGTGCACCACCACGTGCAGCTAATTTTTTTTTTTTTTTTTTTTTTTTGAGATGGAGTCTTGCTCTGTCACCAGGCTGGAATGCAATGGCGCAATCTTGGCTCACTGCAACCTCTGCCTCCTGGGTTCAAGCGATTCTTGTGCCTCAGCCTCTCGAGTAGCTGGGATCACAGGCATGTGCCACCATGCCCCGCTAATTTTTGTATTTTTAGTAGAGACGAGGTTTCACCATGTTGGCCAGGATGGTCTCGATCTCCTGACCTCAGGTGATCCGCCTGCCTCAGGCTCCCAAAGTGCTGGGATTATAGGCATGAGCCAGGGTGCCCGGCCCTCTTTTTTTTTTTAATTGTTAGCAGAAGCAAATTTACAGCTACAGACACCAAAACTTTGGGCCTCTCAGTTCCATGAGCCCCTATTGAGGCCAGTGTTGGAAGGTTCTCATAATGTGTTCACATGGGCATCCGCTTTTGTAAAATTTTCATAGTTAAGGCAATTTTGCTTCAAGCAGAGACTACTTTTTTGCTCAGAATTCTCTTTTGCCTCATGTCAAGTGATGGTGGTGTAAAATATGAATGAGGGGAAACTGACATGGAATACATTTAGTTTGGGTTTAGTGGAATACATTTATGTGGTCTGTACTCTTCTCCACCTATAATTAAATTATAGCCAGCCATCCTGGTGTAGAAATATCCTACCTCCCTCTGTGCCAACTCATCTGGCACAGAGCACAAAGTGGGTGACATGAAGGAGCAGGGCCAGAGGTCACATCTCAGTAGAAATGTGCCCTACAGTGCCTGGCACTGAGATTTTGTGGGTGCTGGAGAAGGAACAAAGTGTGAATCATAATGTGCCAGAAGCTGGTGTGTAGTAGAAAATTCTTTGGGCCGGGCGCAGTGGCTCACGCCTGTAATCCCAGCACTTTTGGGAGGTTGAGGTGGGCGGATCACTTGAGGTTGGGAGTTCGAGACCAGCCTGCCCAACATGGTGAAACCCTGTCTTTACTAAAAATACAAAAATTAGCCAGATGTCATGGTGCACGCCTGTAATCCCAGCTACTCAGGAGGCTGAGGCATGAGAATCGCTTGAACCTGGGGAGACAGAGGTTGCAGTAAGCTGAGATCGCACCCTGCATTCCAGCCTGGGGCACAGAGCGAGTCTCTGTCTCGAAAAAAGAAAAAAAGAAAAGAAAATTCTTCCAGTTATCAGACAGATGAAATTATAAGCAGAAGATTCTCCTTAACTGTAGTCAAAATCAAAGTTCTCTCAGGAATGTCTTCCCTAAAACTGCGCATGTAATTATACACATACCAACCATTTTTCTCCCTGTCTTTTGATGGGCATCAGGCAAAATCAAATTTATCAGGATTCCTGTGTAGGACACAAATGTCTAGCAGTAAAACAAACAGAAAGTGCATTTGTGTGTGGAGTCTTAGACTGTATGCATCAGATCGCATCTTAGCATATCTGACACATCTTGTCCTGACAAAGTCTGGTGGTTCCAGAAGAAATAGCATGCCAAATTGCCACCAAGGCAGTGAAAAAAAAGCCTGAAGAAATTACATACACACCACAGAGCGAAAGAAAAACAAAGAAATCGCTGAAGAGAGAAAGCATAACATGATGCCAGAATGAAGTCCAAACCTATCCATCACATCACATCAATAAATGCAAATGGAGTAAGCCTAGTTTGGAAAGAAAATCTATGATATGCCTTTAGATCAGACATCTATTTCTTTTCTTTTCTTTTTTTTCTGAGACAGAGTATTGCTCTGTATCCCAGGCTGGAGTGCAGTGGTGTGATCTCAGCTCACTGCAACCTCCACCTCCCAGGTTCAAGCAATTCTCCTGCCTCAGCCTCCCAATAGCTAGGTTCAAGCAATTCTGCCTCAGCCTCCCAAGCAGCTAGGATTACAGGCGTGCATCACCACACCCAGCTAATTTTTGTATTTTTAGTAGGGACAGGGTTTCACCATGTTGGCCAGGCTGGTCTCAATCTCCTGACCTCAGGTGATCCACCCGCCTCAGCCTCTCAAAGTGCTGGGATTACAGGAATGAGCCACCATGCCTGGCCTAGATCAAACATCTCTTAATGCCATTCAGAGCCTCTTGGCCTCACATTCTTCCCAGGCCTTTGACCTATTCTGTCTTCACCTCTCTGTAGTGATCAATTCTGCCTAGGGCTCCACTGATTTCACATGGAAACAATCCCTCATGACAGCAATATGAGCATTGTTACTAGTGGTAAGTGGTTCATGATAACCCTTGGCACGAAGTGGCAACAAAATTATTAAGGTTCTCACCTGTAGTTCATTGGGGGTGAGCTGTAGGTGGAGAGTGAAATTGGGCAGGTAAACGGGGCATCTGTGGCATTTGACTGGTATGGAGCAATGATCATTACAAGAAATGTTGAGTAGGCTAGCTTTTATTTGGCCAGGTGTGGTGACTCATGCCTATAATCCAGTGCTTTGGGAGGTCAAGGAGGTAGGATCACTTGAGGCCAGGAATTCAAGACCAACCCACGCACCACAGTAAGACCCTGTCTCTACAAAATTTATTTATTTATTTATTTAGCCAAGCAACAAAAACCTTTATTAACATTTTGAACACTTTTAGCTATTATTGAAACTGGTAATTTTACAAAAAAGTTTTTTTTAATTAGCTGGGTATGGTGAAATATCCCTGTAGTTCTAGCTACTCAGAAGGCTGAGGTGGGTTTCGAGACCATTCTAGCCCAGGAGTTTGAGGCTGCAGTAAGCTGTGATTGCACCATGGCACTCCAGTCTGGGCAACAGAGTGAGACTCTGCATCAAAAAAATAAAGAAAAGAAATGTAGGGTAGACCAGCTTTTATTAACAGCATTGAAACCTTACAAAAAAGAAAATGATAGTCTCAGGATAGCTAACAGCCAACTTTAGATATGTACAAGCCATGGGGAGGCCGGGTGTGGGGACAGGATACAATCATTTTAGAAAACTTTTTTTTTTTTTTTTTGCGGGAGACCAGAGCCTTATTATTTATTACTCAAATCAGTTTCTAGAAAACTGTTTTGGTATCTGTGAAAACCGAACATAGGCAAACCTTATGAGCCAGCTATTCCACTCCCAGGTATACAACCAATAGAAACATTTACATATGTACACCAAGAGATATAGACAAGGCCAGGTGCAGTGGCTCACACCTGTAATCCCAACACACAAGGTGTGAGAATCCTTTGAGCTCAGAAGTTTGAGACCAGTCTGGGGAACATAGTGAAATCTAGTCTCTACTAAAAATAAAAGAAATTGGCTGGGCCTGGTAGATTATCCCTGTAGTCCCACCTACTTAGGAGGCTGGGACAGGAGGACCCCGAGCCAGTGAAATGGAGGCTGCAGTGAGCTCTGGTTGCATCACTACACTCCCGTCTGGGTGACAGAGCAAGACCAAATCTCAAAAAAAAGGAGGAGGATCACTTGAGTTCAGGAGTTCGAGACCATCCTGGCCAACATGGTAAAACCCTGTCTCTACCAAAAATATAAAAAATTAGCCGGGCATGGTGGCACACGCCTGTAAACCCACAGCTACTCAGTAGGCTGAGGCAGGAGAATTACTTGAACCTGGGAGGTGGAGGTTGCAATGAGCCGAGATTGTGCCATTGCACTCCAGCCTGGGCAGACAGAGCGAGACTCCACCTCAAAAAAAAGATATATACAAGAAAATTTATAGAGGCTGGGTGCAGTGGCTCACACCTGTAATCCCAGCACTTTGGGAGGCTGAGACAGGAGGATCACGAGGTCAAGAGATGGAGACCATCCTGGCCAACATGGCGAAATCCCATCTCTACTAAAAATACAAAAATTAGCTGGGCATGGTGGCGCTTGCTTGTAGTCCCAGCTACTCAAGAGGCTGAGGCAGGAGAATTGCTTGAACCTGGGAGGCAGAGGTTGCAGTGAGCCGAGATTGCACCACTGCACTCCAGCCTGGCGACAGAGCGAGTCTCTGTCTCAAAAAAAAAAAAAAAGAAAGAAAGAAAGAAAATTTATAGCAACACTCTTCATAATAGTTCAAAACTGGAAACAATTCAAATGTCTAGAGAAGGTAGAATTTATAAATAAATTGGCATGTAGTCCTACGATGGAATATGATACAGCCATAAAAATGAATGACTGATTGCAACTCACAACATGAGGACTGTCATAAATAGAATGTTGTAGTAAAGAAGATAGTCACTAAAGAATTCATAGAGCTGTAGATTATATCGTTTCATTTATGCAATGTTAAAAAGTTAGGTAAGACTAAACTATATTGTTTGGAAATAAAAGCTTGGGTGGTTATATTCTAAAAGAAAAGCAAGGAAGTTATCTTTGTGGAAGGGGAAGTAGTGATTAAGAGAGCCCAGAGGAGCCAGGCATGGTGTTGATCATGCCTGTAATCCCAGCACTTTGGGAGGCTGATGCAGGAGGCTTGCTTGAGCCCAGGTGTTCAAGACTAGCCTGGGCAACATAGCAAGACTTCATATCTACTAAAATTAAAAAACCTGTGGTTCCCAGCTATTTCGGGGACTGAGGTGGAGGATCAGTTGAGCCTGGGATATAGAGGCTGCAGTGAGCCCTGATTATCCCACTGCACCTTAGCCTGGATGAGAGAGTAAGACTTTGTCTCAAAAAAAAATAGCCATGGGGAGCTTTGTGGCAGTTTTTAAGGAGACTCATTTCCTGAAGCTTCAGGGACAACTGCTAAAAATCGGGCTCAGTATCTGATGACGACAGAGCTGTCAAAGAAGCCTGAGTGTGCAGCCTTGATAGGTCTCCTGTCAAATCACGGCTCCTCTAGGAAAAAAGTGAGGCCCTGGGCTGGGGACCTGGGGTGGATGAGCCTGAAAACCCTGAAAAGCCTGAACTGGAAAACTTGAATATGAAACTTGCACACAACAATTAGGTGGAGATGCCAGAACTTCCTTGACAGTATTGAAGAAGAGGTTATGAGACTCAGGGAGAGAGCAATGTTAAAATGGATTTATTGTCTAGGACCTGAGGACCCACCATCTAACTATACCCAGGCAGCCCAGAGGCAACAAGGGAAGTCAGGTATCTTTGAGATGCCCTGTGGGGTTGATAGAATAGATACTACCATGGAACTAGACTCCCAAGTAAAAGGAGATGATGGGATTTGGGAATGGCAGGGGCCTAGTGGCCACACTTACCTGCCAGGCAAGGTAGATGTAATTGTCAGAAGGAGCAGCCAGGCTAGAGTAGGCAATTAGGATGCCTGGACAAGCTTTATGGTACCAGGGTCAAGATAGGTGGACTGCCTCTGAGCATGATGTTCAATTTGTATTAAAAAACAAACACAGGCTGGGCACGGTGGCTCATGCCTGTAATCACAGCACTTTGGGAGGCCGAGGCGGGCAGATCATCTGAGGTCATGTGTTTGAGACAGCCTGGCCAATGTGACGAAACCCCGTCTCTACTAAAAATATAAAAATTACCCCAGTGTGGTGGCGCACGCCTGTAGTCCCAGCTACTCGGGAGGCTGAGGCACAAGAATCACTTGAACCCAAGAGGCGGAGGTTGCGGTGAGCTGAGATCATGCCACTGTGCTCCAGCCTGGGCAATAAAGTGAGACTCGGTCTCAATAAAAATAAAAACAAAAACTAGACCTGATGGGTAAAAGACTGATGCTCACTACAATAGAAAATTACACTCCCTCATCCATTTCCAGGCCTGAGTCAGTTTTCAGACACAGAGTCCATTGATTGAAGGAGAGGCTGTGCCCCCTCGAGGAACACCATCACATGTATATATGTAAATAGTCCTCGCTGGGCGTGGTGGCTCACGTCTGTAATCCCAGCACTTTGGGAGGCTGAGGCGGGTGGAATACCTGAGCTCAGGAGTTCGAGACCAGCTTGGGCAACACAGTGAAACCCAGTCTCTACTAAAATACAAAAAATTAGCTGGGTGTGGCGGCATGCACCTGTAGTCCCAGCTACTTGGGAGGCTGAGGCAGGAGAATTGCTTGAACCCGGGAGGCAGAAGTTGCAGTGAGCCGAGATTGCACCATTGCACTCCAGCCTGGATGCTGGATGACAGAGGCTCCGTCTCCAAAAAAAAAAAAAAAAAAAAAAATAGTTCTCTAGACTTGCCCCTAGAGGGATCATGGTCATTTAATCAAATAACTGCACAAGGGAAAAGAGACTACCCAGAATTTTATTTATATTATTAATTTTTTAAATAGAGACAAGGTCTTACTATGTTGTTCAGGCTGGTCTTGAACTCCTCAGCTCAGCAATCCTCTTGCCTCAGCCTCCCATAATGTTCTGAAATTACAGGCATGAGCCACCAGCCCGATGCTTTTTTTCAAAAAAAAATTTTTTTTTTTTTTTTTGGAGACAAGGTCTCACTCTGTCGCCCAGGCTGCAGTGCGGTGGCATAATCATAGCTCACTGAAGCATCAACCTCCTAGGCTCAGGTGATCCCCCCACCTCAGCCTCCCAAGTAGCTGGGACTACAGGTGCATGCCACCACACCCAGCTAATTTTTGTGTATTTTTTGTAGAGATGAGGTTTCACCATGTTGCCTAAGTGGGTCTCAAACTTCTGGACTCAAGTGATCTGACCGGTTGGCCTCCCAAAGTGCTGGAATTACAGGCTGAGACACTGCGCCTGGCCCATAATTTTAAAGGATTGTTAAATATGGGTCTGAGCTGACGCTGATACCAGGAAACCTGAAATGCCATCATGGCATTCTTAATAAAGGAATATGGAAGTTAAGCAGTGAATGGAGTTTTGATCCAATTCTATTTCAGTTGGTCCAAAGTGTATCAGGACAATTGACTCTCAAATAGATAAGTGATACAAATTTAAAAGAACTGTAAAAATACTAAAAAATAAATAAATAAATAAATAAATAAATAACTTTAATAGTTTCATTGTGGATGGCTTTTCCTTTTTTATTTCTTTCCTCATATTTTTATTTTTATTTTTATTTTTTTGAGATGGTGTCTCACTCTCTCACCCAGGCTGGAGTGCAGTGGCGTGATCTCAGCTCACTGCAACCTCTACCTCCCAGGTTCAAGTGATTCTCGTGCCTCAGCCCCGCAAGTAGCTGGGATTACAGACATGTGCCACCATGCCTGGCTAATTTTTGTATTTTTAGTAGAGATGGGGGTTTCACCATGTTGGCCAGGCTGGTCTCAAACTCCTGACCTCAAGTGATCTGCCCGTCTCAGCCTCCCAAAGTGCTGGGATTACACGCATGAGCCACCGTGCCTGACCTTTTTTTTAAAGTGACAGGATCTCACTCTGGAGTAACTCACTGCAGCCTTGAATTCCTGGGCTCAACTCTCAGCCTCCCCAGTAATGGTGGTGTGCACACCACCATTTCCAGGTAATGTTTAAACTTTTTGTAGCACCACTGTGCCAGGCCTGGGATGGCTGTTGTAAACAAAACTTAAAGTTTCAGCTATTAAAAAAAAAAAAAAAAAAGGCCAGCTCGGTGTCTCACACCTGTAATTCCAGCACTTTGAGAAGCCAAGGTGGGAGGATCGCCCTAGCCCAGGAGTTTGAGACAAGTCTGGGCAACATAGTTCGACTCCATCTCTACAAATAATTAATAATTAGCCAGGCGTGGTGACGTGTGCTCATAGTCCCAGCTACTCGGGGGGCTAAGGTGGGAGGATTGCTTGAGCCCTGGAGATTGAAGCTGATTGTGCCACTGTACTCCAGCCTGGGTGACAGAGCAAGACCTTGTTTCAAAAATTAATTAATTTGGTCGGGTGCGGTGGCTCACGTCTGTAATCTCGGCACTTTGGGAGGCTGAAGCAGGTGGATCACTTGAGGTCAGAAGTTCAAGACTAGCCTGGTCAACATGGTGAAACCGTGTCTCTACCAAAAATACAAAAATTAGCCAGGCACGGTGGCACACGCTTGTAATCCCAGCTACTCGGTAGGCTGAGGCAGAAGAATTGCTCGAACCCAGGAAGCGGAGGTTTCAGTGAGCCAAGATTGTGCCACTGCACTCCGGCCTGGGCGACAGAGTGGGACTCTGGCTCAAACAAAATAAAAATAAAAATAAAAATAATTAATTTAATTATTTAAAAAAGAAATATTTGAATGCGAAATGACATGTACGTGAGTATTGTTTGAAATAGCAAAATACTAGAAACAACTTAAATGTCCATCAGTGGGGGACTGGCTAAACAAATAATGAAATATCAATTCAAAGAGAGGCTATGCAACCATAAAAAAGAATGAAGCATGTGCATACATGGCATACTGTACGTATGTGTGTGCATGCACAATATTAAATGATTTCACTTACTGTTAACTGAAAGCAGCAAAGTACAGTACAGTGTACTCAGCAGCCACTTATTTAATTGATATTGGCCTGGCGCAGAGGCTCATGCCTGTAATCCCAGCACTTTGGGAGGCTGAGGCGGGCGGATCATCTGAGGTCAGGAGTTCGAGACCAGCCTGGCCAATATGGTGAAACCCCATACTAAATACACAAAAATTAGCTGGGAGTGGGGAAACGCATCTGTAATCCCAGCTACTCAGGAGGCTGAGGCAGGAGAATTGCTTGAACCTGGGAGGCGCAGGTTGCAGTGAACCGAGATCTCGCCAGTGCAGTCCAACCTGGGCGACAAGAGTGAAACTCCATCTCAAAAAAAAAAAAAAAAAAAAAAGATATTAACGGAGGACTTCCTCTCTACTGAGAACTGTCCTAGGTGATATAGAGGTGAACCGAACAGATCAGATCCAAGCTGTCATGAGGCAGACACCCTGGTAGAGGAGAGGGGTAATGAACAAATAAAGCAACCCAGAAATGAGAGAGGTTCAGGCAGTGGTAGATGCTATGAAGAAAACTCAACAAAGGGATGGGGAAGGGAGAGACTGCGTGCACTGGGGTGGTCAGGAGACAGGTAGCCAGGGAAGACCTCTCTAGAAGGTGCCTTTTGAGTTGAGGCACTGGGACCTGCAAGAACAAAAGCCAGGGGGCAAGAGACAATGTAAAGTGTTGAGGGCGCAAAGAAATAAGGCTGATGGAGCACAGTGACTCTTAGGGAGTCCAGCATAGATGAGATCTGAGTGGTAGGCAGGGCTCAGAATTTGTATTTTATTCTGAAAACATGTTCTCAGTGCATAAAAAACTGTATATATATGTATATAAATGCATTTATTCTTGCATGTATACTTCTTTTTTTTTTTTTTTGAGATGGAGTCTTGCATTCCAGGCTGGAGTGCAGTGGCGTGATCTCGGTTCACTACAACCTCTGCCTTCCAGGTTCAATCTATTCTCCTGCCTCATCCTCCCGAGTAGCTGGGATTACAGGCATGTGCCACCATGACGGCTACTTTTTTGTATCTTTCTTAGAGATGGGGTTTCAACATGTTGGCCAGGCTGGTCTCGAACTCCTGACCTCATGATCCGCCTGCGTCGGCCTCCCAAAGTGCTGGGATTACAGCTGTGAGCCACCATGACTGGCCTGCTTCTTTATGTACATAATATTTCTGGAGGGAGAAACAAGAAACTGATTATGGTGGCTGCCTCTGGGGGACTGGGGCTCCAGGGCGGGAAGGCGACTTATGTTTTGTAGTGTACTTTTTATGCTGTTTGATATTTTTAACATGTACATAAATTACTTCTTCGATTAAAAACTAGTTAATATTTAAACTGTGAAAACATCTTAATATTCAATCTCAGTTGTAATCAGATAAATGCAAATTAAAACATCAGGGAAATAAGATATTTCAGGAAGGATTTAAAAACTCATAAAGCTCATCGTTGATAAGGATACGAGAAAATGGACTCATGTGTTGTTTGTGTATTTTATTTGTCAGAATAAGTATTGGCAAACCTTTCCTGAGGATCACTTGACTATTTTGGTATCAAAGGCCTTAATTTTTTTACTATATCCTTGCCTTAACTATTCCATGCCCGTGAATTTCCCCAAAGAATCAGGAACAGATGCAAAGATCAAGCTGCAAAGATATTCATTCCAGCAGGTTTATAATAGGGAAATGATAGAAACAATTTAAATTTTAACACTAGTCATTTATTTAAATAAACTATGGTATATCCATGTAATAGAATTGTATGACTATATTTTAAATGCTGTCAAAGAATATTAATGGCATACAAAAATATTATCAATTTGCTGTTGGATGAAAAACACAGTTACAAAAGAGAATGTTCCACATTCCAATTTTAGCACACACACATATGAAGACTACAAAAAGCCTGGGCATGGTGGTTCGCATCTGTAATCCCAATATTTTGGGAGGCCAAGGCAGGAGGATTGCTTGAGCCCAGGGGTTTAAGACAGCCCGGGCAACAATGAGATCCCATCTCCACTTTAAAAAAAAAAAAAGACTGCAAAAATATTAGCAAGAGCTAATAAATCATGGGTGATTTATGGTCTCTTTATTATCACACATTTTATAAATGACTTTTACTTTTTGAGCCTCAAGTGCATGTAATTAATAGACTGTAGGTTGGGTGCAGTGGCTCATTCCTATAATCCTAACACTTTGGGAGGCCAAGGTGAGCGGATCACCTGAGGTCAGAAACTCGAGACTAGCCTGGCCAACATGGTGAAACCCTGTCTCTACTAAAAATACAAAAATTGGTCAGGCATAGTGGCGGGAG